>NC_000007.14:152034137-152185652 GCF_000001405.40 Homo sapiens | reverse complement strand
TACTCTGTTCTTTTGTTGCAGATTGGACTACTAGAGTGAAGCAAATTGCCAAATTGTGGAGAAAAGCAAGCTCACAAGAAAGAGCACCATATGTGGTATTTTAAGAAACTCCTCTATCTTTTAAATATTTAAATACAGTGCTTGAACCTTATTTGTATTAGGTTAATAAAAAACAAATTTCCATTTCAGAAAATGCTTGTTAGTACCTGTACAACAAGCAACTTTATTTTTAAAGTGATTTTCTAACTCCTTATGTCTTAATAGAGAGTGTGACATTTTTATAAGCAAGTTAATAGAACCAAAACGTTGAAGATTGAAAATCAGCTGTTTTAGGGGGGAAGGAGTAATTCATTTCACTTTAAAATTGTTTTATCTCTTCAGCAGAGGTACAGTTGGCCGTCTGTATCCATGAGTTCTATATCTGTGGATTCAACCAACCATGGATCAAAAATATTTTGGAAAAACATCTATACTGAACTTGTACAGACTCTTTCCCTTGTCATTGTTTTTAAAACAATGTAACAACGATTTACATAGCATTTATATTGTGTTAAGTATTACAAGTAATCTAAAGATGACTTAAAGTATACAGGAGGGGCCAGGCACAGTGACCCACACCTGTAATCCCAGCAGTTTGAGAGGCCAAGGTGGGCAGATGGCTTTGAGCCCAGGAGTTCAAGACCAGCCTGGGCAACATAGCCAAAACCTCATCTCTATAAAAAATGAAAAAATTAGCTGGGTATGATGGCGCATGCCTGTAGTCTCAGCTACTTGAGAGACTTGAGAGGTTGAGGCTTCAGTGAGCCAGAATTGTACGACTGCATTCCAGCCTAGGTGACAGAGCAAGACCACCCTGCTAGGTCAAAAAATAAAAAGGGAGAAAGTATACAGGAGGATATGTGTAGGTTATATGCAAATACTGTGACATTTTCTATAAGGGACTTGAGCATCTGTGGATTTTGGTATCTGCAGGGAATCCTGGAACCAATACCCCATGGATACAGAGGGACAACTGTACTAAATTTGGAGACTGGATTGGCATGCCTCAGTGTCTTCCACAGTCACCTCTTTTCTTGTTAGGTTTCATAGAGAATCTTTGTGCATCTTGAAAGAGAAATATTTAGACATGTTTAAAGAGTTTTTGACACATGATCTTTGCCATGAACTATTAGGTAATTTTATAAGATTCGCAGTTCATATGGTAAATTATTTTCTCCCAAAGAGCCAAATTAAGATTGTCAGCTGGAACCAAATCCTTGCTTTCGTTTTAAAGCATATTAAATCTGTATTATTGTTGGAAAATATATATAGTTATTTTCCAGCTTGTTCCCCAGTGCACATATTTTCAGTTACAGTGATTATTTTGGATAGAGCATATATGTGTGTATATGCTCTATCACATATATATATATAGATGTGTTAATATGCTGTGTTTTATTTTGACTTGAATTAGGTAATGACAGAATTTTTAAATTTTTAAGTGATTTCTTTAATGATACGTTTCAAATATCCAGATTTTTTTTTTTTTAAGACTGATTGGATATTTTTCCTTTTTTCTAAATTTTTTTTTTTTTTTTTTTGAGATGGAGCTTCACAGTTGTTGCCCAGGCTGGAGTGCAATGGTGCGATCTCGGCTCACTGCAACCTCTGCCTTCCAGATTCAAGCGATTCTCCTGCCCCAGCCTCCCAAGTAGCTGGGATTACAGGCATGTGCCACCATGCCTGGCTGATTTTTCTTTTTCTTTTTCTTTTTTTTGAGACAGAGTTTTGCTCTTGTTGCCCAGGCTGGAGTGCAATGGCGCAATCTTGGCTCACCACAACCTCCGCCTCCTGAGTTCAAGTGATTCTCCTGCCTCAGCCTCCCGAGTAGCTGGGATTACAGGCATGTGCCACCACATCTGGCTAATTTTGTATTTTTAGTAGAGATGGGGTGTCTCCATGTTGGTCAGGCTGGTGTCGAACTCCCGACCTCAGGTGATCCACCCGCCTCAGCCTCCCAAAGTACTGGGATTACAGGTGTGAGCCACTGCGCCTGGCCTAATTTTGTATTTTTAGTAGAGGTGGGGTTTCACCATGTTGGTCAGGCTGATCTCAAACACCTGACGTCAGGTGATCCACCCGCCTTGGCCTCCCGAAGTGCTGGGATTACGAGCATGAGCCACCATGCCTGGCCCCAGCCCCTTCTTTCTAAATTGAAGGAGACATAATTTCTAAGGATATGTTAAGAAAACTAGGAGCTAAAATATTAAATCACACCTAGGATCTTTAAGCTTAATTCAAATACATAGAAATATATCCTCAACTGATAGGTACTATGCACTGTAAAGAGAGAAGATGAGTTAGTGTCCAGATCCTTTTTTGGGAGGTGCCGTAAGTATTTCAGCTATTTTACCTGACTTTTTTTTCTTTTATTTGAGAAAGTTCATGATAGTTTTATTTTATTCCTTAAAACATTTAACATAATCTGGGAAATTTTTTTCTCTTCTTTTGTCAAAGCAAAAAGCCAGAGATAACAGAGCTGCTTTACGCATTAATAAAGTACAGATGTCAAATGATTCCATGAAAAGGCAGCAACAGCAAGATAGCATTGATCCCAGCTCTCGTATTGATTCGGAGCTTTTTAAAGATCCTTTAAAGCAAAGAGAATCAGAACATGAACAGGAATGGAAATTTAGACAGGTATGGAATTTTTGGATAATCTACTTTTTGAAGTTGCATTTTTGTTTTGAGAAGGGAGGTCTTTGCATTATTATTTTAGAATATAGTTCTTAGACCATGAAAATTTGATTTAGGATAGACTTGTTTCTCTTTTCAGTAAAATATATTTAAATTGATTTGAGAAATTTATTGAAATATTATAAACAATATACTGCCCTAGGCACAAATGGAACATACCATGATGAGTAATTTCTCTTCTTCAGGAATTCATAATCTAATATGGGAGCAATCTGGTAGCGCTGACATCAAACAAATTAACTTTCTGTTGCTTTTTCCCCCCATGATGGTAGTTTTCTTCCTTAACCTAAATATGATTGCTTTTTCTTTTCTATTTTAATAGCAAATGCGTCAGAAAAGTAAGCAGCAAGCTAAAATTGAAGCCACACAGAAACTTGAACAGGTGAAAAATGAGCAGCAGCAGCAGCAACAACAGCAATTTGGTTCTCAGCATCTTCTGGTGCAGTCTGGTTCAGATACACCAAGTAGTGGGATACAGAGTCCCTTGACACCTCAGCCTGGCAATGGAAATATGTCTCCTGCACAGTCATTCCATAAAGAACTGTTTACAAAACAGCCACCCAGTACCCCTACGTCTACATCTTCAGATGATGTGTTTGTAAAGCCACAAGCTCCACCTCCTCCTCCAGCCCCATCCCGGATTCCCATCCAGGATAGTCTTTCTCAGGCTCAGACTTCTCAGCCACCCTCACCGCAAGTGTTTTCACCTGGGTCCTCTAACTCACGACCACCATCTCCAATGGATCCATATGCAAAAATGGTTGGTACCCCTCGACCACCTCCTGTGGGCCATAGTTTTTCCAGAAGAAATTCTGCTGCACCAGTGGAAAACTGTACACCTTTATCATCGGTATCTAGGCCCCTTCAAATGAATGAGACAACAGCAAATAGGCCATCCCCTGTCAGAGATTTATGTTCTTCTTCCACGACAAATAATGACCCCTATGCAAAACCTCCAGACACACCTAGGCCTGTGATGACAGATCAATTTCCCAAATCCTTGGGCCTATCCCGGTCTCCTGTAGTTTCAGAACAAACTGCAAAAGGCCCTATAGCAGCTGGAACCAGTGATCACTTTACTAAACCATCTCCTAGGGCAGATGTGTTTCAAAGACAAAGGATACCTGACTCATATGCACGACCCTTGTTGACACCTGCACCTCTTGATAGTGGTCCTGGACCTTTTAAGACTCCAATGCAACCTCCTCCATCCTCTCAGGATCCTTATGGATCAGTGTCACAGGCATCAAGGCGATTGTCTGTTGACCCTTATGAAAGGCCTGCTTTGACACCAAGACCTATAGATAATTTTTCTCATAATCAGTCAAATGATCCATATAGTCAGCCTCCCCTTACCCCACATCCAGCAGTGAATGAATCTTTTGCCCATCCTTCAAGGGCTTTTTCCCAGCCTGGAACCATATCAAGGCCAACATCTCAGGACCCATACTCCCAACCCCCAGGAACTCCACGACCTGTTGTAGATTCTTATTCCCAATCTTCAGGAACAGCTAGGTCCAATACAGACCCTTACTCTCAACCTCCTGGAACTCCCCGGCCTACTACTGTTGACCCATATAGTCAGCAGCCCCAAACCCCAAGACCATCTACACAAACTGACTTGTTTGTTACACCTGTAACAAATCAGAGGCATTCTGATCCATATGCTCATCCTCCTGGAACACCAAGACCTGGAATTTCTGTCCCTTACTCTCAGCCACCAGCAACACCAAGGCCAAGGATTTCAGAGGGTTTTACTAGGTCCTCAATGACAAGACCAGTCCTCATGCCAAATCAGGATCCTTTCCTGCAAGCAGCACAAAACCGAGGA
Organism: Homo sapiens; assembly: GCF_000001405.40. NCBI lineage: Eukaryota > Metazoa > Chordata > Mammalia > Primates > Hominidae > Homo > Homo sapiens. The sequence goes on along the minus strand of NC_000007.14, from coordinate 152,181,085 downwards.
CCAGCTTTACCTGGCCCGTTGGTAAGGCCACCTGATACATGTTCCCAGACACCTAGGCCCCCTGGACCTGGTCTTTCAGACACATTTAGCCGTGTTTCCCCATCTGCTGCCCGTGATCCCTATGATCAGTCTCCAATGACTCCAAGATCTCAGTCTGACTCTTTTGGAACAAGTCAAACTGCCCATGATGTTGCTGATCAGCCAAGGCCTGGATCAGAGGGGAGCTTCTGTGCATCTTCAAACTCTCCAATGCACTCCCAAGGCCAGCAGTTCTCTGGTGTCTCCCAACTTCCTGGACCTGTGCCAACTTCAGGAGTAACTGATACACAGAATACTGTAAATATGGCCCAAGCAGATACAGAGAAATTGAGACAGGTAAACACATTGTATGTTCTCAGTTTTAAATGTATTATTTGAGGAAGCTGTTCATTTCATCAAACTGAGTAATTTCTACACAGGAGTTAATGTTTTATTTTTTTTATTCTGTAGAGTTTGTCATACTGCAAAAAAGAAAAATGAAATTGATGAAATTAACACCAGTTTAATTTATTCTGTATCTGATTTCAGTTTTCACGAATTCGCAGGGGAATCCTTAAATATTAAAGCTTTGTTTTGTGATAGTTGTCTGGCAAGGAAAAGGACCCAAATCATCAAATTATTTTTCCTAATATATTGAATAGTTAAATGTAACTGGTATTTCATCAAACTTTGAAACATTACCATAGCCACATAATGAAAGTATCAGGATTTAAAAAGCCACTAACCTGTCAGGCACGGTGGCGCATGCTTGTAATCCCAGCTACTTGAGAGGCTGAGACAGGAGGATCACTTGAGTCCAGGAATTTGAGGCCAGCCTGGGCAACATAGCAAGATCCCATATCTAAAAATAAAAAGCCAGTAACCTTTAAAAAGCCATTAATTACCACAAATCCCAGTGATTTTTGTTTCTTCCCATTTAGCGGCAGAAGTTACGTGAAATCATTCTCCAGCAGCAACAGCAGAAGAAGATTGCAGGTCGACAGGAGAAGGGGTCACAGGACTCACCCGCAGTGCCTCATCCAGGGCCTCTTCAACACTGGCAACCAGAGAATGTTAACCAGGCTTTCACCAGACCCCCACCTCCCTATCCTGGGAACATTAGGTCTCCTGTTGCCCCTCCTTTAGGACCTAGATATGCTGTTTTCCCAAAAGATCAGCGTGGACCCTATCCTCCTGATGTTGCTAGTATGGGGATGAGACCTCATGGATTTAGGTAATGCTTTTAATTTCCTGCCGAATTTAAATTGCTATTAGAAGAGGGAAACAGAGCTGGGTGTGGTGGCTTGTGCCTGTAATCCTAGCTACTAGCTGAGGCAGGAGGATTGCTTGAGGCTAGGAGTTTGAGACCAGCCTGGGCAATATAGTGAGACCACCCCCCCCCCCCCCCAACCTCTTCAACAAATTTAAAAATTTTTTAAAAGAAATAGACAAATGAAGTTAGTATTAATCAGGAAGCTGTTACTGCTTTCTACTTCTTTCTCCCCTTTGAAATATATATAATCTGCTATTTAGTGCTAATGAGAGGTCATAGACATTTTTTTCCTCTAAGAACTCTACAGACTCTGAAAACATTACCTTTGTTTTTAAGTATTAACTGTGTTAGCATTACCTTGCACCCTTAATGATGCAGTTTATCATATGACATCCTCAAAATGTAGCTATTCTGCGTAGGCAAAGCCTCCTACGATGTGATGAGACTTGTCCTCTCTCCAAATTTCTACCTTTTAACTTTACATTCTAAATTAATTTTAGGCTGGGCGCAGTGGCTCAGGCCTGTAATCCCAATACTTTGGGAGGCCGAGGTGGGCGGATCACTTGAGGTCAGGAGTTCGAGACCAACCTGGCCAACATGGTAAAACCCTGCCTCTAGTAAAAATACAAAAATTGGCCGGCTATGGCGGCAGGCACTGCACCTGTATTCGCGGCTACTCAGGAGGCTGAGACAAAAGGATCACTTGAACCCAGGAGGTGGAGGTTGCAGTGAGCCGAGGTCACGCCACTGCACTCCAGCCTGGGAGACAGAACGAGACTCTGTCTCAATTTAAAAAATAATAATAATAAATTTTAGAGATTTCCGAACTGAAAGGACTTTCCCTTTAGGAACTTTCCATGGTGAGATAGGGTTGTAAGTTAGTGGTGATGAATCATAAGAATGTTTCCTTTTTCAAAGTGGCTAAAGTCAAAGCCAAACCTATGCCCTAGTTATAATAAGGAAATAGTTCTTTAAGATATGCTTTTTAGTTTTATGTCTTTTAGTCTTATATCTCTACCTCCATGTTATATTCTTTTAGTTTCCTTTTCTTCTACCTTAGTTGTAATTTATGCCTCTTTCTGCATTTTATATTTTGTGTAAGTTGCCTGTAATCTTACTCTTAATTTCCCTTTTTTCTTCCACCTTGTTATAATTTATGCCTCTTGCTATGCTTTGTATTCTGTGTAAGTTGCCTGTAATCCTGTCTAGAAGGAAGTACAATATAAAATAGTCCAACAATTTATACATTTACTTAATCTTTATAGATGAGGCCTACTTGTCCTTTTCTCTAAGTTTATTCTATCCCATCATCAAACCTGTGCCTTTGTAGTCTCATGTACTGAGGCCTGTAAGTCCCTCAATAGGTATGAAGACCTATCTTCATTCAAACATCATCCCCGAATCAGCTTCCTCCATCGAACCTCCCTAAATATAGATAAAAGAAACTCTTCCTGAAAAAGTCCAGTAGTATTGTTCTTATCTCTGAACAATTGATTTCATCTGCTTGGTTGTTCTTCCTTTGTCTTCATTTTTGTTATCTGTTAAATCTTAAGCCTTTAGAGCTCAGATATGGTGTTCATTATAGGATTCTTAGCAAAATCTTACTTGCATATGAATACTGTAAATACTTTTTAATGGTGATAGCTTTGCTTTTGTAAGTCATAGTATTTGGCAACATTTTGTATGTACAGTTTAATTGAAGACTTTTCTTTTTTTCAACTTAACTCTAAATTTAACATAATACCTATTTGCTTTTTTTTTTTTTTTTTTTTTTTTTTTAAAAGATTTGGATTTCCAGGAGGTAGTCATGGTACCATGCCGAGTCAAGAGCGCTTCCTTGTGCCTCCTCAGCAAATACAGGGATCTGGAGTTTCTCCACAGCTAAGAAGATCAGTATCTGTAGATATGCCTAGGCCTTTAAATAACTCACAAATGAATAATCCAGTTGGACTTCCTCAGCATTTTTCACCACAGAGCTTGCCAGTTCAGCAGCACAACATACTGGGCCAAGCATATATTGAACTGAGACATAGGGCTCCTGACGGAAGGCAACGGCTGCCTTTCAGTGCTCCACCTGGCAGCGTTGTAGAGGCATCTTCTAATCTGAGACATGGAAACTTCATTCCCCGGCCAGACTTTCCGGGCCCTAGACACACAGACCCCATGCGACGACCTCCCCAGGGTCTACCTAATCAGCTACCTGTGCACCCAGATTTGGAACAAGTGCCACCATCTCAACAAGAGCAAGGTCATTCTGTCCATTCATCTTCTATGGTCATGAGGACTCTGAACCATCCACTAGGTGGTGAATTTTCAGAAGCTCCTTTGTCAACATCTGTACCGTCTGAAACAACGTCTGATAATTTACAGATAACCACCCAGCCTTCTGATGGTCTAGAGGAAAAACTTGATTCTGATGACCCTTCTGTGAAGGAACTGGATGTTAAAGACCTTGAGGGGGTTGAAGTCAAAGACTTAGATGATGAAGATCTTGAAAACTTAAATTTAGATACAGAGGATGGCAAGGTAGTTGAATTGGATACTTTAGATAATTTGGAAACTAATGATCCCAACCTGGATGACCTCTTAAGGTCAGGAGAGTTTGATATCATTGCATATACAGATCCAGAACTTGACATGGGAGATAAGAAAAGCATGTTTAATGAGGAACTAGACCTTCCAATTGATGATAAGTTAGATAATCAGTGTGTATCTGTTGAACCAAAAAAAAAGGAACAAGAAAACAAAACTCTGGTTCTCTCTGATAAACATTCACCACAGAAAAAATCCACTGTTACCAATGAGGTAAAAACGGAAGTACTGTCTCCAAATTCTAAGGTGGAATCCAAATGTGAAACTGAAAAAAATGATGAGAATAAAGATAATGTTGACACTCCTTGCTCACAGGCTTCTGCTCACTCAGACCTAAATGATGGAGAAAAGACTTCTTTGCATCCTTGTGATCCAGATCTATTTGAGAAAAGAACCAATCGAGAAACTGCTGGCCCCAGTGCAAATGTCATTCAGGCATCCACTCAACTACCTGCTCAAGATGTAATAAACTCTTGTGGCATAACTGGATCAACTCCAGTTCTCTCAAGTTTACTTGCTAATGAGAAATCTGATAATTCAGACATTAGGCCATCGGGGTCTCCACCACCACCAACTCTGCCGGCCTCCCCATCCAATCATGTGTCAAGTTTGCCTCCTTTCATAGCACCGCCTGGCCGTGTTTTGGATAATGCCATGAATTCTAATGTGACAGTAGTCTCTAGGGTAAACCATGTTTTTTCTCAGGGTGTGCAGGTAAACCCAGGGCTCATTCCAGGTCAATCAACAGTTAACCACAGTCTGGGGACAGGAAAACCTGCAACTCAAACTGGGCCTCAAACAAGTCAGTCTGGTACCAGTAGCATGTCTGGACCCCAACAGCTAATGATTCCTCAAACATTAGCACAGCAGAATAGAGAGAGGCCCCTTCTTCTAGAAGAACAGCCTCTACTTCTACAGGATCTTTTGGATCAAGAAAGGCAAGAACAGCAGCAGCAAAGACAGATGCAAGCCATGATTCGTCAGCGATCAGAACCGTTCTTCCCTAATATTGGTAGGAGTTTTCTTGAGTCTCAACGTATATTACTATGGGTATTAGAGTGGCATGCGATATGCTTATAAGATTTTATTATTAGAATTACAGTTGGAATAAAGCACTGAGTTTTTCTATTCCTCCTTGAGGAGTTTGTTTGTTTTGTTTTGAGACGGAGTCTCACTGTGTCACCCAAGATGGAGTGCAGTGGCGCGATCTCGGCTCACAGCAACCTCCACCTCCTGGGTTCAAGTGATTCTCCTGCCTCAGCCTCCCGAGTAGCTGGGACTACAGACACGTGCCACCATGCCTGGCCAATTTTTGTATTTTTAGTAGAGGTGCGGGGTTTCACCATGTTGGCCAGGCTGGTCTCAAACTCCTGACCTCAGGTGATCCGCCTGCTTTGGCCTCCCAAAGTGCTGGGATTACAGGCGTGAGCCACCCTGCTTGGCCCTCCTTGAGCTTTAGAATGAAAGCAGTTGGCTGGGCACAGTGGCTCACGGCTGTAATCCTAGCACTTTGGGAGACCGAGGCAGACAGATTGCCTCAGCTCAGGAGTTCCAGACCAACCTGGGCAACACAGGACATGGATGAAGCTGGAAACCATCATTCTCAGCAAACTAATGCAGGAACAGAAAACCATACACTGCATGTTCTCACTCATAAGTGGGAGTTGAACAGTGAGAACACATGGACACAGGGAGGGGAACATCACACACTGGAACCTGTCGGGGGTGGGGGGCTAGGGGACGGATAGCATTAGGAGAAATACCTAATGTAGATGACGGGTTGATGGGTGCAGCAAACCACCATGACATATGTATACCTATGTAACCAGCATATTCTGCACAAGTATCCCAGAATTTAAAGTATAATAATTAAAAAAAAATAACAAAAAATTAGCTGGGCATAGCAGCGTGCGCCTGTAGTCCCAGTTATTCGGGAGACAGAGGCAGGAGAATGGTGTGAACCCAGGAGGCGGAAGTTGCAGTGAGGCGAGATCGCACCATTGCACTCCAGCCTGGGGGACAGAGTGAGACTCTGTCTCAAAAAAAAAAAAATGAAAACAACGAAGAGTTTTAGATTCTTTCCAGGTAAATTAAGAGATTCAAAACTGAGTTACAAACTTCCCTCAATTCTATTATTTATGGAATTGTTTAATAGAAACTAATTGTCTTCTTAGTTCCTACATTCCAACCATTGTTGCCATATGTTTTCAGTCATGGAAGGATGAATTTAAGAAAATTATGATGGAAATAAAGCTTCTTACTGTCCTTTTGTGTATGACAAATGCTTGGCGATTTTTTGCTATATAAACCTCTTTAACTTGTTTCTAATGGTTTACTGATTCTAAAAACAACAAAAGCAATGCAGTCAAAATGCCTCAGTGCCTCTAAGAATAAGAATTAGCAATCAAAGGGCACGTGTCTAAGCAGTGTGCCTTATTCTAAATAATAAAATTGACATTCCATTTTATATATCCCCAATTTCATCATTTTGCTCCCTTTTTTTCATTTAGATGCAAATAGGTTTTTTCGTAGTAGCTTCTTATTGAGAGGTTATACCCTTAAGAAATTGGTGCATTTTTCTTTTAAGAGTGATAACTAATTTAGTAGAATTCCTTAGTATTGCAAATTCTTATTTGTGATGTTATATTTACTAAAGAAGCCATTCTGATTAGCATTGCAAAAGTTTGGATGAAAGGAAATTAATTGCATTGCTTTAGATTATTGCTTATAATCTCCCTTAAACTTGACTTTTTGTTTTAATTCCTGCAGGACTAAGGTATTAAAGCATGATTCAGTTAAGGACTACTGAGATGCGATTAAACCCAGGATAAGGTTGCCATCTCAGAAATCTGTAATGATTATTAAATAATAAAATTTAAGAGCTTGTAATATTTGAATTACTTCTTAGTGTACGTTGAACTAATTACTATGAAATAAGTAACTTTATATTTCTTTTCTAGATTTTGATGCAATTACAGATCCTATAATGAAAGCCAAAATGGTGGCCCTTAAAGGTATAAATAAAGTGATGGCACAAAACAATCTGGGCATGCCACCAATGGTGATGAGCAGGTAGGTGGAGTGGCTGCTTGTTTCTACTGGGCATCTAGACATTCATGAAATCATTACTAGTTTTTAGAAAAAACATACAGAAAATGGAAAGCCCTTGTCTAGGAATGAACAACACTATTTAAGTTGTCATGGCATCAGCTCGATATGATCAGATACAAAATGCTATACCAATTTAAGAAATTAGTGTAAGAACCAGTTTAAGAGCATTAGTCTCAAGGATGGTAAATGTAAAACATCTTAAAAAGATTTGGAAGATTGGATTTCCTGATTACTCAAGTCAAAGTATTTAGGTCTGTGCTCTTTTAAATACCTTTAGAATTGTTCATGTTATCTAAGATTTTTTTCAGTTAAGACACTGAGTGATTAAAGCAATTATAAATTCAGTTCTAAAATAAAATGTTCCCAAACCGGTTTTGAATCAGAAAAAGAAAGTTACAAGGAATAGATAAGAGGACAGTTGGAAGTTGGAGTTACAGAGTTTGTCTTTTCTCTCTTAGGAGAAAAACAGAAATTACGCATTAAAGAAGACAGTAGGGGTTATTTCAATATCTGAATTTTTGAAATTATGCCCTCTAAGGGTTGTTAACCACATGGCACTGTTTCTTAAATTTTGATCATGGACCACCATGAGAATTATGGGGTAATTTTTTTAAAATGCAGATTATTTTGCTCTACTGCAGACCTACTAAATAAGAATATCTGGAGATGGTTGCCTGTGTGTCTGTATTTTTAGCAAGCGTCATGAATGAGTCTTACGTGTATTACTATATGAGAACCTCTGTCAATAAAGTAAGCATAGAGCCTCAATTTAGTCTAGTTATCTTGTTGAAAAACTTTTATATAAAAAATGTGGATGATTATAGAATTGAATATAAAATTTGCACGAATTTAAGATGTATATATTTCAAAGAAATTTGAATTCTTAAGGGTATAATTCTTTTCAATTGTTGAGATACTTTGGACATGGTTAAGAAGCATTTTTGAGATCAAAGTAGAGATAGTGGTTTCCAATGATTTTCATTATTGAGCAATATTTATTAACACTATTTCTCTATCATAGAGATTCCTAACTGTTTTATGTCTTGAATATTTTTGGATTCCAGTGAAGCCTTTGAAATTCTCAGAATGTTTTATATGCAGAAAATTTAAGACATAGCATTACGAAGGAAATGATTATACTTGAAATATAGTTATTAAAATATAATTAAATTTATGTATATATGTTCCTTAAAGTATTAACAAATTTAGCAATAAACCATAATTTGAAAGTAATGATGAACATAACTAATCTATTAGGTGCCTGCAACACTCGATAGGAAAATAATCTGTCTTCTATTGGTGATAGTTGTGGTACTTGCTAATAATATTGTAGTTTCTATGTATATTCAAAACAAGGAAATGCTGAGTTTTATTTACTACTTAGTTTTGTTTTGGTTTTTGTTTCTGAGACGGAGTTTCGCTGTTGTTGCCCAGGATAGAGTGCAATGGCTCACTGCAGCCTTCACCTCCAAGGTTCAAGCGATTCTCCTGCATCAGCCTCTGGAGTAGCTCGGATCACAGGCACGTGCCACCATGCGCAGCTAATTTTTGTATTTTTGGTAGAGACAGGGTTTCACCATGTTGGTCAGGCTGTTCTTGAACTTCTGACCTCAGGTGATCCACCTGCCTCCCCCTCCCAAAGTGCTGCAATTACAGGCATGAGCCACTGCACCCGACCAGCACTTAGTTTTAAATATGGACCTCAGAATTTGAGGCCTTTCAGCATCTGATGCTCTTTTAGCATCATGCATCTGCCGGTTAGATACATTAGTCATGTATCAGGTATATGGCTTAGTATTCTACTGACTGCTTTTTAGAAATGGAAGTGATAGTCCCTTCTTAGAGTAGTGTGATATGTTGAGTTAGGATGATAGACCATGTGTGATATTCAGATTAGAAGATCATTTAGACCAGACCTGTAGCAGTGGGTAGGGTGACAGATCAATGAAAAACCTGAGTAAAAAATTTAAAAACATATTCTATATCCTAATAGTACTTAAATAGTAATATACAGCTTTTGGAATACATTTTTAAAATTGTATGTATATCTTGATACGTTAAAGCATTTGATAATGCCAGAGGAAATACTTTCATGTAAGCAGTAATGCTTCTGTGAAGTTTTTATAGTTTTAATTAGAATGAGTAACATTTCTCTAAACACGTTTAACCATGCAGACTGATCTTGGTCAGTCGTCCATTTTTGATTTGCTTTAACATTAGATATAGAAATGTATGAAAATGTATGAAAATTCTTAAATTGGGAAATGTCTTTTGTTTTAGAATATAAAATAACTAAGCTCTCAATTAGTTTTTAACACAGACTGGAATGAGAAAACATTTCCTTAGAGTTCGTTATAAAACTAAATCAACTTATTTTTATTCTGAAGTCTTGAATTCATTTTATCGTAAAGTGGAGTGAGGCACATAATAGAGTAAAACCTCTAGAGTCAGCCTAGCTGGCTTCTTATTGCAGCCCTACTAGTCCTTGTGGGGAAGGTTACGGAATATCTCTGAATCTTACTTTCATCATAAGTAACATGAGGGTGCTAAGAGCACACTTCATCGAATTACAGTGAGGATCACATCTGCCCAGTACATGAAAGGTAGGGCTTTAGTGTTTTGATGAAGAAGAAATTGCCACTGTTCTTCTCTGGAAGAGAAAACTGTTAAGCACCTAATACAGTTTTTAATTAATATTAATAATTTCTAAACGCTCATCACTTGATACTTGTGTACCCTGTTTTGACAGGTTCCCTTTTATGGGCCAGGTGGTAACTGGAACACAGAACAGTGAAGGACAGAACCTTGGACCACAGGCCATTCCTCAGGTAACACTGCCTGTAATGAGTCCCTCTAGAATGCACGCTTTTCTGTTTCCCAGCAAACTCATGCTTTAGAGTAAGTCCCCTGCTAGAGAGTAGTACTAGGTTTGTGCAGAAGTAAATGCGGATTTCACCATATGCCATTTGCCAGTGGCAAAAACCGCAATTACTTTTTCACCAACCTAAATAGTAGCCTTATCTATCAGCACAGCCAAAAGTAACCAAAAAGACACTTTACTGCTTTTTAAACAAAAGACAAATTAAGGTTAAAAAAATTGGCTGTGATTTCTGAAAAGGATTTATATACTTACGGGTAAAAAGTCACTTGATGGCAAAACCACACGCTCAGGACTTTTGGTTTTATTTTTATTTACTTATTTTTAACTCCAGAAGGACATTTTCATGTCCTGCATTTTAGAATTAAACCCATTATATTTAAAATGTAAAACTTCTATAAATACTAGAAAATGGCTGGGCACGGTGGCTCACTCCTCTAATCCCAGCACTTTGGGAGGCCGAGATGGGCAAATTATGAAGTCAGCAGTTTGAGACCAGCCTGACCAACGTAGTGAAACCCCGTCTCTACAAAAAATACAAAAATTAGTCAGGCGTGGTGGCGCACACCTATAGTCCCAGCTACTTGGGAGACTGAGGCAGGAGAATCGCTTGAACCCGGGAGGCAGAGGTTGCAGTGAGCCGAGATCACGCCACTGCACTCCAGCTTGGGTGACAGAGCGAGACTTCATCTCAAACAAACAAACACAGCAAGTAGAAAACAATATGCTATATTTGTTTTTTCCTTTTTTCTTCCCATCCTTGTTGAAAGATATGCTATATTTTTAATATAATATCAAGCAGTATCTGGGGAAGTAAAACTCATGCAGTATTTTTGTCAGTGATTTTTTTTTTATAAAGGGAGCTACCTACTATAATGTATGTCCTGTTTTCTTCCTTGCCCTGCCAGTTATGCTTTAGATTTATTATGCTGATAATTATATTCTTCTCATTATTAAAAGAGGAAACAGAAGCCATTTGATATAATGGGAAAAGCATAGCCTTTATAGCTGAGTTTTTTTAAAGAAATTATAGTTCCACTATGAATTTACTGTGCAACTTTGGGCAAATTCTTTAGCCTCTTGTTTTTTAATATGTCAAATGTTAAACCAACTGCTTTGTAGTATTGTGAAGATTGCACATAATACATTCTGGCTGCTAGTATAAGTTTATAATTATTACCTTGTATACAGCTCATGTTAAGGAGAACTTGTGACAACTGGATAAACATTTTTCAACATTAATTTGTTAGGTGATTATCAGGGACTTGTGAGATTAATAACTGCTTGTTCAGTCACCTGGAAGAAATAAGACTTTTAACTTGAAAATAAAACGAATTAAATACTTTTTATTTATTTTTTTTATTTTTTTGGGAACAGGATCCTGCTGTGTTGCCCAGGCTGGCCTCAAACACCTGGGCTCAAGCGATCCTACCACCTCAGCCTCCCAAGTAGCCGGGACTACAGGCGTGTGTAGAAAATAAGACTAATATTTTTATTAACGTATTTTTCTTTTATATTTGTGCATGTTAGAGACATTAGTTTTTGTTATAAATAACCATGCTGTGGAGTGGCATTTAGTCAATCTGGAACTTGTGTTTGATTGAAGAAGAAACCAGGTAAACTTCATCAAAAAGTGAGATTTTTTATATAGATCTCTCGCTTAGTATTAGCAGTAATTGATTTGCCCTGTATTATATTTCTGATGAATAATCCTTTACCTCAAGCATAATTGTTTTCAGCCAAAATCTAGACAGTATAGTAGTTCAGAGATAGTAATAAGAATTCAGAATTAGGTTGCCACCACTAAATTCACTCTACTTTTTATAAAAAAACCTTTAAAAGATATCTTAGGAAATTAAAGGGTTTTTTCTTCCATTTCTTTTTTTCTTTCTTTCTTTTAAAGTTTTTTCCCCCCTTTAACTGAAATGTGGAATAAACATATTTGTAAATTTTACTTATTTTAGGATGGCAGTATAACACATCAGATTTCTAGGCCTAATCCTCCAAATTTTGGTCCAGGCTTTGTCAGTAAGTATAAATCTAATAAGTTAATGTTTTCTGGGGATTGCTTGTCTGCACTCTATGTGTGCTGTTCTAAACCTGAAGTGAGTGTAGGTACACCAGTTCAAGCCCAGGTGCCCTCCTGTCTTATTAAACATCACTGCCCTATTAGGCAACTCTTCTTCAAGGCGTGTGTTTTCATTGCTTTTTTCACTGTGCATGAAGAATTATAGTTACAGAAAAGTATTTTAATACAGAAAAACCATCTTCCCCATTCTCTTCAATATTGTTGCTGTTTTTGTATACAGATTGGGCACTTTACAGTCTATAGAACTAAACCACGTTTTGCTCTAAGAACTGTCTTCCTAAGTGACAAGGACACTAAATGGGAAAAACAAAGGGATTATACTTAGCAGTAAGTTGGGTTAGCAGCATGGTGTAAAGGTCAGGTATGCAAGGTGCCCCTGAATCCTTTCTAGTTATTTGCAGGGGTCCCAAGGTGGTTCAGGATAGTGTTTAAAGTTCTCCCCAAACTGAACCTTTCTGAAATCTTCAGACTGTTTAGCTAACTTTTTTTTCACCATTATTTTTCATTTTGCTCACCTCTGCTCTCCTGGTTCCAGAAACCAGAAAGGCTTTCCTTGCGGTAGGTCTCATTCTACCAGAAGCAGAACTTCTGAAATCTTGTGAAAAAGCCTGTTCTTAAAAAATGCCCTTCAAATTTAGTAGACTAGATTTCAAGTTCATACATGTACTGGAACTTCTGGGTTTAGGAACAAACCCAAAGTCTGACCTTTTGAAATTCCCCCTACATTAATTGTTACTATAATTTGAATACATATTTGCATTAAAAACAAGTAAAGAACTATACCAACTGGCTTTTTCTGGCTTTATTGTGCCCATTGGCTTTGGTTGGATTCTTAATGTATGACAATATTCTGTTATCATTGATGTTATTTTCAGCGAATGTCCTTCTTAGAAATGTATTTATTCATTTCTTTGTCTTGTAGTGAGTCAAAAAGGTATATTCAGAATTTCACTACATACGATGACTTTTTTTTTTTCCCCTTGGACTGGGTATCAATGAAGTAAAGTGCCCTTAAAGAATAAAGAAGAGAATATTGGTACAAAATGAAGAGATATAGCCATTTGGGGAGAATTACTGGCAGTTGTAAAAGTAGAAAATGTTTTGCTTGGTTAACTATTCCCTCCCCTTATTTTAAAAAATATAACTACAGAATAATAATTACCAATGTTTTCAACTTATGGATTTCCTTTATAAGTCATAGACTTTAAATTATTCCATTCTAAAACATTCTGGGTTCCTTTTCTCTCTGTTTAGGATATTTTTTCATTATTAAGAAATAGGAAAGAACTTATAAACTCAGGAAAATTAACATGGGAAGTGATTTCCTAGTCTATGCGCTAGACCTTAATGGGATATGTCTTTGTCTCTTCAAAATCTGTAAAATCGTATTCATAAAATGCATGTATACCTTAGTATGTAGTTTGGCTTGTGGGTTAGAGAATTTGTTTAGTAAAAAAAAAGAATTTCATTACATAAGTCTGCTTTTCCAAGATTGGATTTGTAATATTTATAAGTGCTAAGTTAACCAGTATCTCAAGAATGTGCATTCTCTGGCTTTCTCAATTAAATATTTTTCTAAAATCTGATATTTTATCATTACATAATCGTCTAATATTTAGTATTGTGTTTTCAAATTTCCTATTATGTGGTCATGGTGAAACTACTTCCTTACAAAATAGATTTGTGTAACTTATAATGTTGGACTCTTTAGAAAATTAACACAACTGAATTTTAATTTTTCCTCAGATGATTCACAGCGTAAGCAGTATGAAGAGTGGCTCCAGGAGACCCAACAGCTGCTTCAAATGCAGCAGAAGTATCTTGAAGAACAAATTGGTGCTCACAGAAAATCTAAGAAGGCCCTTTCAGCTAAACAACGTACTGCCAAGAAAGCTGGGCGTGAATTTCCAGAGGAAGATGCAGAACAACTCAAGCATGTTACTGAACAGCAAAGCATGGTTCAGAAACAGCTAGAACAGGTAATAAATAGGTTTGCAAAATAGAAACTACCAACAATTAATGAGTAGAATGTTTTGGTGTGTTGTTCATTAGTGACTTTGACTAGTGATTTTTTTTGACTAGTATTAAATGGCATTAAAAGTACATTGCCAAAAAGTGACAGCTCTGAGACCTCTTAGTAACTGCAGCCATAACAGCTCCAGTCTTTTACTTAAAGTGACGGTCACAGCACATACTAAATAAATGACACAAAAGAGATTGAGTCTCATAATTTCGACTTCGAAGAACTATTTTCAACTTTGGTATAGTTGGAGACGTTATTTTTTTCTGCACTAAGAAATCACTGCAAAGACCATGTTTCTGTTATACATCATTGAGAGTATTCGACTTAACTGAGGACCGAGCTCATGGGGAGATACTGGGTTTAGTTTGGAATAAGAATTGGGGGCCCAGGGAGTATTTTTGTTTACTTGGAGTTGATATTATTATTATTTCTTAATGTTTTGGTCTTAAAATACATTGGTATGTCTTATGTGAAGTACTGTTCCAGAAAAATGAAATCATTTTGCCATTATCTTCTATTATAAACCAGAAGTTTATCAGAATATTTAAACTGAATAATATACTGGAAAAGAAGAAACATGTAAAAATTGTATTTAAAATAAAACAATAGTAGTGTACAAAATGGGTTCAGAGCCAACTCCTAGGTATATTTACCCAAGTAAATTAAAAACTTAAGGTTCAGGCCAGGCGTGGTGGTTCATACCTGTAATTCCAGCACTTTGGGAGGCCGAGGTGGGTGGATCACTTGAGGTCAGGAGTTTGAGACCAGCCTGGCCAACATGGTGAAACCCCGTCTCTACTAAAAATACAAAAATTAGCTAAGTATGGTGGTGTGTGCCTGTAATCCCAGCTATTTGGGAGGCTGAGGCAGGAGAATCCCTGCACCAAGGAGTCAGAGGTTGTGGTGAGCCGAGCTTGCGCCACTGTACTCCAGCCTGGCGACAAAGTGAGACTCCATCTCAAAAAAAAAAAAAAAAAATGTGAGTGCTCTATAATGAACACTGTAGGAAGCACTTCCATTTACGTTGTCTTATCTACATCTTTCTGAAGGAGTTAGTATTATCCCCATTTTACAAACTGATTCATTGTAAAGGTTATAAACACTGTGTACACGTGGCCAGGCACGGTGGCTCACGCCTGTAATCCCAGCACTTTGGGAAGCCAAGACAGGCGGATCACCTGAGGCCAGGAGTTCGAGACCAGCTGGCCAACGTGGCAAAACTCGTCTCTACTAAAAATACAAGAAGTTAGCCAGGCATGGTGGCAGGTGCCTGTAATCCCAGCTGCTTGGGAGGTTGAGGCAGGAGAATTGCTTGAATCCGGGAGGTGGAGGCTGCAGTGAGCTGAGATTGCACCATTGCACTCCAGCCTGGGCAACAAGAGCAAAACTCTTGTCTCAAAAACAAAACAAAACAAAAAAAATCCCAAAAAATACCCCCACTGTACATGTTTGCTTATAACTATTAGATTAGGGATTTGGACTCACGTGTCTTATCTTCAAACCACAGCTACCACAATAATGTACCAACAATAAGGTGATCATAATTCCAGTTGTTTAAAACTAGGATTATTCCAGAATGAAAGGTTTCTTTTCTCTTTAAATCTACTCTCTGGGTTCATGTTTACTGTAGGTTAATATTCTTGTAAAGATATGTTTAATAAAGTATATTTTTTTTAGCACTTTCATTGCCATCTGGCATATTTGTACAAGGTCTTTTGATGAGGGCCTAATTTTTGCATATCCATAGATCAAATCCTATTTAGAAGCTAATACTTGAAAAATGGGATACATCATCTATTACATAGTTGCCAAAGATCCAGTATAATCATATTAAGATAAGCAGTTGATGGTAATGTTTTAAAAAGTATTATAAAATATCATGGGAAAGACATGGATGACCACCTTATATATCCCACATAGTGTTGTAGGTGCTTTCTGTACTTTCTTACTACTTCACCAACCAATGGTAATTTCTCAGTTCTAACCAGTAAACTGGCCAGGAAAAATAAGAAAATAGGAGTTACACAACTGTTGAAGAAGAGATGAAACACGATTATTTGCAGAAAGTATTAGTCTACCTGGGGAACCCAAGAAAATACTTTGAAAAACTATTAGAACTCCTGAGTTTAGTATATTAATATTTATCTAAAAATTGAATGATGTTGAGAGATATACACATCCTTTTGCATTCCTTCTTTCCCTAGCTTGCTGAATGAGATGGTGAGGTTCTCCAGAACATAGTTTGCGTCTTGATTGATATCTGGCCTGTAGTATTGAGCACATTGGGACACAAAGGTTTTTGGAATGAATTAATTAATTGATATTAGCCATTATATTAAGAGTCTATTTACAGACTATTCAAAATACTTCCTCGGAGCTTGTATAGATTTCAGAAATTATAATTTGAGTGTTAGCCATTAAATTGAAAGTGTTCAACAAATTTAGTCTTTTTAATCTGGGTGGGGGGTGTGATATTCGTGCTGGTAATTCATCTTGTCTTAAAATGTTGTACAGGCCGGGCGCAGTGGCTCACGCCTGTAATCCCAGCACTTTGGGAGGCCGAGGCGGGCGGATCACGAGGTCAGGAGATCGAGACCATCCTGGCTAACACGGTGAAACCCCGTCTCTACTAAAAATACAAAAAATTAGCCGGGCGTGGTAGCGGGCGCCTGTAGTCCCAGCTACTCGGGAGGCTGAGGCAGGAGAATGGCGTGAACCCGGGAGGCGGAGCTTGCAGTGAGCCGAGATCGCGCCACTGCACTCCAGCCTGGGCGACAGAGCGAGACTCCGTCTCAAAAAAAAAAAAAAAATGTTGTACAATTTATATATTTAAGAAATGAAATCTTAACATTTAAATGGTTCAAGTTTGAGTTAAGTCTGTTATTCTAACATTGTATATTGTAATTTCTAGGACATCAAAATTAGCTGCTTGTGTAACCTTTTTTATTGTATATTTTTTATGTATAGTATAAATAGTATATATGAGTTTCACCATAAGATTTTAATATTTTACTAAACCGTTTTTGATATTTCATATGTGAAGCACTTTTACAGATAACTTTATAAAAATCCTGTTGTTAAAGAGATTGACAGTTGTTAGTTAAGGCTTATCAATTCAATTTTTTTGTGACTTTTGCAGTTACCCAAGCAAAATATGTTTGCTTCTGCAGGGCCAAACTGCCCTCTGTGTAACCTCAACCACAGTCATCAGCCAGTGTTTTACTTCAGTACCTATGCTGTATAGAAATGAGTAATGATGCATTTTGTTATTCCAGATTCGTAAACAACAGAAAGAACATGCTGAATTGATTGAAGATTATCGGATCAAACAGCAGCAGCAATGTGCAATGGCCCCACCTACCATGATGCCCAGTGTCCAGCCCCAGCCACCCCTAATTCCAGGTGCCACTCCACCCACCATGAGCCAACCCACCTTTCCCATGGTGCCACAGCAGCTTCAGCACCAGCAGCACACAACAGTTATTTCTGGCCATACTAGCCCTGTTAGAATGCCCAGTTTACCTGGATGGCAACCCAACAGTGCTCCTGCCCACCTGCCCCTCAATCCTCCTAGAATTCAGCCCCCAATTGCCCAGTTACCAATAAAAACTTGTACACCAGCCCCAGGGACAGTCTCAAATGCAAATCCACAGAGTGGACCACCACCTCGGGTAGAATTTGATGACAACAATCCCTTTAGTGAAAGTTTTCAAGAACGGGAACGTAAGGAACGTTTACGAGAACAGCAAGAGAGACAACGGATCCAACTCATGCAGGAGGTAGATAGACAAAGAGCTTTGCAGCAGAGGATGGAAATGGAGCAGCATGGTATGGTGGGCTCTGAGATAAGTAGTAGTAGGACATCTGTGTCCCAGATTCCCTTCTACAGTTCCGACTTACCTTGTGATTTTATGCAACCTCTAGGACCCCTTCAGCAGTCTCCACAACACCAACAGCAAATGGGGCAGGTTTTACAGCAGCAGAATATACAACAAGGATCAATTAATTCACCCTCCACCCAAACTTTCATGCAGACTAATGAGCGAAGGCAGGTAGGCCCTCCTTCATTTGTTCCTGATTCACCATCAATCCCTGTTGGAAGCCCAAATTTTTCTTCTGTGAAGCAGGGACATGGAAATCTTTCTGGGACCAGCTTCCAGCAGTCCCCAGTGAGGCCTTCTTTTACACCTGCTTTACCAGCAGCACCTCCAGTAGCTAATAGCAGTCTCCCATGTGGCCAAGATTCTACTATAACCCATGGACACAGTTATCCGGGATCAACCCAATCGCTCATTCAGTTGTATTCTGATATAATCCCAGAGGAAAAAGGGAAAAAGAAAAGAACAAGAAAGAAGAAAAGAGATGATGATGCAGAATCCACCAAGGCTCCATCAACTCCCCATTCAGATATAACTGCCCCACCGACTCCAGGCATCTCAGAAACTACCTCTACTCCTGCAGTGAGCACACCCAGTGAGCTTCCTCAACAAGCCGACCAAGAGTCGGTGGAACCAGTCGGCCCATCCACTCCCAATATGGCAGCAGGCCAGCTATGTACAGAATTAGAGAACAAACTGCCCAATAGTGATTTCTCACAAGCAACTCCAAATCAACAGACGTATGCAAATTCAGAAGTAGACAAGCTCTCCATGGAAACCCCTGCCAAAACAGAAGAGATAAAACTGGAAAAGGCTGAGACAGAGTCCTGCCCAGGCCAAGAGGAGCCTAAATTGGAGGAACAGAATGGTAGTAAGGTAGAAGGAAACGCTGTAGCCTGTCCTGTCTCCTCAGCACAGAGTCCTCCCCATTCTGCTGGGGCCCCTGCTGCCAAAGGAGACTCAGGGAATGAACTTCTGAAACACTTGTTGAAAAATAAAAAGTCATCTTCTCTTTTGAATCAAAAACCTGAGGGCAGTATTTGTTCAGAAGATGACTGTACAAAGGATAATAAACTAGTTGAGAAGCAGAACCCAGCTGAAGGACTGGTAAGTGTAAATCATAAAAACGACAACTTTTTTCTTTTGTTTTAAATTATACTTACAGCAGATTAGTACCAGCAACTGTATTTCCACATTATTCTACAACCTTTTTATTCTAAAGGACCATTTTTTATTTTGTCATTTCTACCTCTCTGGAACCCATGTTTTTACTTATATCTAAACTATATTAAATAATAATTTGTTTACTATTTTTTAAAAAGCAAAGGCATGTATTGCATTTCATATATAACGTGATGTGTAGCAACTGGTTATTACCACATTGAGTTGATATGACTAAAGCAAAGTAAGTAAATGTCTATGTACTTTATTGTAAATAAGTGATTAATTTCCATTAACCTCTTTAAAATGCAGAGGATAGCCCATGCACCCCTATTAATACCCTTGGCACTCTTAGGGATACCACACTGGGAAGCTATTGTGTGGTTACAGTGTTGTATTGATACTTAATGTAATGTTACATGTAGATACTGTTTTGTAGTTTTCCATGTATCAATTTTCTATCAGTTTTAAGTTATTAACATTTAATTTGCTTTTTTTTTCATTTACATGAAGAGCTAACTTGTAAATATACCTTTACAAGAATCTGTCCCCTTTATTTCAGTTAACTTCATTAAGATAGTTCCAAAACTGGAGTTTGAGTCATGGGAATTGGTCTGCTTAATAGCTCTTGCCTGTTTATCTTTCAGAAGGTGCAGTGCCATTACCAGTGCATTCATAAAGCTGTCCCTAGAGAGCTTCTCAAATTGGATTTCATTTTCATATTTTAATTAAGGGTTGAGTGGTATATTTAGTTGTCCAGTTTTTTCATTTTAAGATTGTTAATGAAGCTCATCTTTTTGCAAGTGTTGCTTTTTTTCTTGTCTTTGACCATTCAGTAGAGATTGAGTGTTGACTTGATAGATTTGTGTAATTTTTGTAAATTTTACTGGTTATGCTTTTACAGTTGTCACCAGTAAATATAGGCAACTCTCCAGCACAGTCTCCATCCACTTTCTCCAAGACATCTTATACCCTGAGGAGTACTGAATAACTTGCAGCCTTCTGTCTTTTTACCCTTCTATGTATACCACATGCTGCTGCTTCTGCCTGTTCTGTTCTCCCTTCTTATATACGTCTGGACAATATATTTTTATCTTTTGAAATGCAGTTCTTGAGTCATCTTTTTCCAGATACCTTTCTCACCTCTCCCAATCTCAAATATGTGTTGATGCTCGTGTTCTCACATAGCGATTTCTGTTGTACCACTTAACATTATTTAAATAGCTCCTTGAAGGACGTAGACTACATTTTGAGCATGTTTATATTAAAATTTGTGGGTGTAAGAATGTTTAATGGCATGGGGAACAACCACGTCAAGTTTAAAAAGTAGCCCCTCCCCCCAAATTAAAGTGTGATTTAAATAAATATATAGTGATTTAAATATATATAAATATATACATCTATATATAAATATATATATAAATATAAATATATAAATATATATATATAATTAATTTTTAGGTTCTTGCCACTCAGAGTGCAGTCCTTGGGGATCCGCAGCATCCACATCAGGTGGGAGCTTTGTAACACATGCAGAATCTCCCGCCACACACCTGCTTCTCAGAATGTAGACTTAGGAAGATCCCCAGGTGATTCCTGAGCATCTGAAGGGGAGAAGTACTGCTCTAGGCAGGTGATTCTCAAAGCTAAAGTGTGAGGAGCACCAGGAGGGCTTGTTAAACCAAGATTGCTGGGCTCCAGCCCCGGTATTTCTGATTCTGCAGGTCTGGGTGGGACCAGATAATCTGCATTTCTAGACCAGCTCTAGATGCTGCTGCCGCCCTGGAGACCCCTTGAGAGCCACAGAACTAGCCTGGAGATGAGCAGTCTAAGCCTGCTTTCGCCTCCCTCCATGAGCTAAAAATGGCTTTTACATTTTTAAATGGTTGAAAAAAAATCTAAGGAAGAGTAGTATTTTGTGACACATAAAAATTATACAAAATTCAAATTTGTCCGTGAATTTTAAAAGTTTTATTTGAACGCAGCCAAGCTCATTGATTTATGAATTGTTTATGGCTGCTTTTGAAGTACAAGGGCAGAGTTGAGTAATTATGCCAGGGGCTGTATGGCCTACAGAGGCTTACAATATTTATCATCTGGCTCTTTACATAAAAATGTTGCCATCCATGCGCTAAACTATTTAGAATATAACTGGAAACTAATTTTCAGAACCGTCAGAGATTCAATGCAGAATTCATTACAGTAAGTTCAGCTACTATAATCGTCTATAGCAGAGTACTGCTGTTAAATTTAGAAATAATGGAGCCTGAAAATATTCCTGTGTTTTAAGGTACTGATAGGACTACCCTTAAAGGCCTTTTCAGGGCTTGGCTTATTCTCACTTTGTAATGATAAAAATAAAGAAAAGGTTTATTTGTTATCATCTACGTTCTCTCCCATTGACTTTAAGTATGTGGCCATTATTTTTCAGTCAAATACGGTTGTGAACTAATTTGAAGAACCAGTGTTTTTTCTTTTTATTGTTGTCTGGTGCTATCTGTTCTCTCACCTAAGATGCATAGGCTGTAAAGCTTTTCTGGAGCCTGTGAATTGTTTCAGCACACCTCATATTTCACTAGTTCCTAAGGGGAACCAAAAATAACTCACCAAGACCACTATGCAGAGGCTCCTATAGCCATCTACAAGCATTTCCTTCCCTTCTGCAGTAAGTAAGCAGGAATAAGGGGTTCCCCAGCCCCAGGGAGGTCAGCATGAGGGGTAATGCTTTGCCAGAAAGGGCTGTGGCCTTACTAATGAGTTCTGCTCTTTCCTCAAGCTTCGCAGCTTACTGATTTCCATACTCGAGAATAACGTTTGAAGAAAAGGATGGTGTTTTTGGAAAACCAGCATTGACACCACTCTATCTTCCCTACTTATTTAATACCTTTTAGTGCCATGTTAGGATGACGCGTCATAGCTTGGCACTGCATGAACTAAAAACCAAATATGCAAATTGTTCACTTATTTTTTACCCTTTCCAATTACATTAGCAAACTTTGGGGGCTCAAATGCAAGGTGGTTTTGGATGTGGCAACCAGTTGCCAAAAACAGATGGAGGAAGTGAAACCAAGAAACAGCGAAGCAAACGGACTCAGAGGACGGGTGAGAAAGCAGCACCTCGCTCAAAGAAAAGGAAAAAGGACGAAGAGGAGAAACAAGCTATGTACTCTAGCACTGACACGTTTACCCACTTGAAACAGGTGAGGGTGAGTCATTTAGAGCAGCCTCTTTTAAAAGTCAAGGATATAGGCTGGGGGCAGTGGCTCATGCCTGTAATCCCAGCACTTTGGGAGGCTGAGGCAGGTGGATCACTTGAGGCATGAGTTCTAGATGAGCTTAGCCAACATGGCAAAACCTCATCTCTACGAAAAATACAAACATTTACTGGGCGTGGTGGTACACGCCTGTAATTCCAGCTACTTGGGAGGCTGAGGCACGAGAATTGCTTGAGCCTGGATGGCAGAGGTTGCAGTGAGCCGAGATTGTGCCACTGCACTCCAGCCTGGGTGACAGAATGAGACTGTGTCTCAAAAAAAAAAACAAAAAAAAAACAAACAATTCAAGGACACGAGAGATCAAATGCTAAAAGACATCTGGACAAGGAACCTAGTAGACTTTTTCCAAGCAGAATTGCACCGTATCCTATTGGCATCTGAAATTTACGGTAATACAAATGGATTGATAGGTGATAGTCAAGATTTTCTTATGTTCATAAGGAGTAGCCTCAGTACCAAGAAAAAAATCTGTCCTCAGTACTTTGTTGTGACTCTGAATCCAAAGAAACACATTGTGAATTCTGTTCTACACCTTTGTGGTTGTTACAGAAGGTGGGAGACAGTTGCTAACAGTGCTGTTGGTGGTACCCAGCCTCAGTTGATGCCCCAGTTTTTGCTGAGCATAGATAAGAAATATGTTTTTCTTGTTAGATGCCTGGCAGCATTCATTTAGTACAGAGCTTATTTTTAAGTCTCAAAGGTCTGTAGTCTCTCTCACTTACTCCAGCATTTTGATACTTGAAAATTTTAAGTCTCATTTTTCTGAAGCCTTATTCAACAAAGTTGCTTCGGGTCTTAGAAAGTTGAGCTACACTGAGTTCCTTTTATCATGTACATTACTCTTAAATGTGTTTTTTAATAGCAGCTCTCTCTGCTCCCTCTAATGGAACCAATCATTGGAGTGAACTTTGCGCACTTTCTTCCTTATGGCAGTGGCCAATTTAATAGTGGGAATCGACTTCTAGGAACTTTTGGCAGTGCTACCCTGGAAGGGGTTTCGGACTACTATTCTCAGTTGATCTACAAGGTATGTTTCTCTGCCAAGGTGTTGTCTTGCTTCATCTTTGGGTAACATGTCAGAATTGATAGAGCTTGTCTTATTTTTGTATTTAGTTTACATCTACTCTTCCAAGTTTTATTAAAACTTAAGTTCAGCTACAGGGTTAAAATTTTACCTGGTGAAGTATTTCTAGCATAAACATTTGAAGTTGTTTTTATAGGTAAGAATACAAATTGCAAGAAATATCTATTATGTACTTCCATGGTAGTGGAAATCCTTATTTCCTTATAACCTTTATTAACACTTAAAATGAATTCAAAAATCATTGTAAATGGTGGGGATTTAAAAAAAGTAGTAGTTTACCTTGAAAAATGAAATTAAACAATTTTAAGTATATCTAATAATTTAGGTATTAATTACAAGTAATTCCTAGACTATTGTAGGTTTTTTTTTTTTTTTTGAGACAGGGTCTCGCTCTGTCACCCAGGCCAGATTGCAGTGGTGCAATCTCAGCTCCCTGCAATCTCTGCCTCCCAAATTCAAGCAATTCTAGTGCCTCAACCTACCAAGTAGCTGGGACTACAGGCATGCACCACCACACCCTGAGGTCAAGGCTGCAGTGAGCATGATTGTGCCATTGCCCTCTACCTCTAGCTTGGGTGACAGAGCAAGTCTCTGTCTCCAAAAAGAAAAAAAAAAAACTATCTTAACTCATAAGCTGTTCTCCAACCTTATTTTATCATCCTCATGAAATTCTTTATCTTTGCAAAATTTGTAATTTGACTTTGCACTTGATTTGCATGGTGTTATTGGTAGATTCCAAGTCTCTCCTTGAGAGACTAATCAGTAAATGACAAATTGGTGATAACTGTTAAGCTGGGAGAGGTGTCTGAAGAGGAACTACATTAATGATTTAGTTACTTTAGTAGTAGCATTAGTACTGTTGCTTCTTTTAAAGGTCTTAGTCAATCCAGATTCTCATATCTCGGATGTGAGTTGTATTACAAGTTTAAGACCAGAAATTCTTAAGTTTTTCATAGAACTAGGGCATATCTTAATGAGAACTTAAAGGATATTTTGATAATATTTTGCAATTTCTTGATTGCATTTTAAAGTTATCCTTCACTAGCTATAACCACGAAACTTGAAGAATTGCATAAATAAAATCAGGTAGAAAGGAAATTAGCTTCTTAATTTCAGAGCTTAAGTAGTCAAGCTGGGTAAAGTAAGCAAGTTGGTATGTCCATAAAATCACGAGTATCTGTTCCACTAAGAAGCCTCCTGGCCTTGTAGGTATTGTTTTCTTGGTGTGCAAGATACATCTTGATTACATTTCTGTAGCCTTGCTTCTATGTGCAAAAAATTCACAGAACTACGTTTTAGCAAGGTCATTGCATATTCGCTCAGTAGCATATAATTTAAATTTTTTGGTCTCCTGCAGCAGAATAATTTAAGTAATCCTCCAACACCCCCTGCCTCTCTTCCTCCTACACCACCTCCTATGGCTTGTCAGAAGATGGCCAATGGTTTTGCAACAACTGAAGAACTTGCTGGAAAAGCCGGAGTGTTAGTGAGCCATGAAGGTATGATTATAGCCTCCAAATTTCACACCTCGGAGAAATGTGCCTCTGCCAGTTGTGTATTGTGAAATGGCAATAGAATTGTAAAGTTCTACCCATTTATCAATATTGACTGAATGTATTTATGGTTTTGTGTTTTTGCTTTTCCAGTTACCAAAACTCTAGGACCTAAACCATTTCAGCTGCCCTTCAGACCCCAGGACGACTTGTTGGCCCGAGCTCTTGCTCAGGGCCCCAAGACAGTTGATGTGCCAGCCTCCCTCCCAACACCACCTCATAACAATCAGGAAGAATTAAGGTACAGGTTATTTTTTTCTCAAATAATTCTTAGTTATTTCTTCTTTTAAAAAAAATAAATGTATGTATGTGGCATAATGTCTTTAGGAATAGCATGTAAAAACATTTGAAGAGTACAATTTGGTGAATAATCTTCAGGATTTAAAGTTTATAAGACATTGTTACCATTAAACATAATTAGTTTGCATTTTTTTAAGCCTACATCATATAGAGAGTTAAATAATCTAATAGACAGTTAAGTATTAGATTATTTAATCTAATTAAATAATCTAATAGACATGAAGGTAGTGGAAAATCTCCATGCAACATATTTCAGAAATCATTGTCCTTTAAAGGGTATTAATGTGATTTATTGGGTTTATTGTTGTTTGTAGATGTCTAAAATGAAAGAGCAGAAGTTGCTATATCAGAGAACGCCGTCGTGGAAGAGAGTTTAAGAACTGTCTGGGGTTTGATGTCTTTGTGTCAGTTCTTTAACTGTAAGATTCTAATTGGGGAGAATCAAGTTCCCTTAGTAGATGATCGCTAGCCAACTCTTTAGATCCAGAGGGTTCTTACAACTTCATCAAATAATTATCTCTTCTTTGGAAAATCTGCCCACTACCCTCTATTTGATGAGACATTTATTTAACCTAAGTCCCTTACTTTATTAATGGGGAAACTTTGGACCGAAGTGGAGAATAATCTGTCCCAATTGAGGATCCAGGTCCTCTTTCTACTGTACCTCAGTAGGCCAGCCTTTCTTGGGTCTCCTGCATGACAGCTACTTCTCTGCGTGAGGAGTGGGAGACAGCAGTTCCACAGGGTTGTGGAACTTAGTCTGAGACCTCACAATTGGCCTGGTAGACTCAAACTTGAACTCAACAGAAGGGACCAGTCTTTTGTTTTTCTCACCTCACTTTATCAGTTAAGAAAAATAAGGGCCGATCAAGTCAATGGCTAAGTTTTCTCCCATCTTGCCAGTGTAAAGAGCAGCAGTAGGACAGCTGTTTTCCCAGTCAGGTGAATGCAGGTGTGACCATTGCATATGTGTTGGACTTCTCTTTCCTTTTTTTTTTGTCTTTTTAAAGTTTTCCTTTTTTATTGTTAAATCCAACCAGCAGCTCTTTCCTTTTCAAGCTGCAGGAGTGCTGCCCTAGGCTCAACGATCTGGGATTTTGAAAAGGTGCTTTCATGCTCTCTATGTTACATGCTAATCAGAACATCTTCCTCTTTGGCAGGTCTTCAAACTTTGGTGCTGAAGCTTTCGTTAAAAGGAAACATACCATTTAAATTATTTTGTAACTAAATATTGTTCTTGTATTTTTTTCCCAGTGTGGCTCTGAGCTGATTCATTTGCTGCTCATCGTATAGGTGCTGCCCAGAGTATCCTTACAGCTGTATTCACAGATGTCAGCAGGGTTGGTACAGGAAGCCCCCAGTGGTGGATTTGCAGACTTTGATGTGTGTGTTTATGTTTTTTCAGGATACAGGATCACTGTGGTGATCGAGATACTCCTGACAGTTTTGTTCCCTCATCCTCTCCTGAGAGTGTGGTTGGGGTAGAAGTGAGCAGGTATCCAGATCTGTCATTGGTCAAGGAGGAGCCTCCAGAACCGGTGCCGTCCCCCATCATTCCAATTCTTCCTAGCACTGCTGGGAAAAGTAAGAACAACACTTAACCTTATTATTTCCCTTTACACTACGCCAATTTACTAATGTAAATATTTTGATTTTGAAAATCCATTAACACTATTTTCCTCTTTTTTTTCTCTCTTTTTAAAGGTTCAGAATCAAGAAGGAATGACATCAAAACTGAGCCAGGCACTTTATATTTTGCGTCACCTTTTGGTCCTTCCCCAAATGGTCCCAGATCAGGTCTTATATCTGTAGCAATTACTCTGCATCCTACAGCTGCTGAGGTAAAAGATTAAATGACTTCTTAATGTTAAACAGTATGTCCCCAATTTTCAAAGATGGGTCAGGTGTCTACCATAAAACACACACAAACAGGATCACTGAGGATAAAGGGTCAGAGAGCAGAGCTGATGCTCACTGCAGACCTCTCAGCTGCCTTTGAGTGCCATCGTTTGTCATTGAATTGGTCTCAGCCTACGTCAAGTAAAAAGGGAAATTAGAGCTCACATTTTCTTATTAAAGGATGTATACTTTAGAGAACTCTTTTTTTTTTTTTTTTTTTAATAGAGACACAGTCTCCTTCTGTTGCCCAGGCTGGAGTGCAGTGGCACAGTCATAGCTCACTGCAGCCTCAAACTTACTGGGCTCAAGTAATCCTTCTGCTTTAGCCTCCTCAGTAGCTGGGACTACATGTGTGAGCCATCATGTCCATCTCAGAAAAAACTTCTTTGTAACTGTTAACAGAGAAGAAAATTAAGCAATGAAAAAGAACTTTATCAACAGTAATAGTTTTGCAGAAGCAATAGAAATGTTCTTCAAGTAGCATCTGCTTATATCAAACATAAGTAATTTCCTGAGGATTTTTTATTTTTTTAACTCTGAATTCTGTGAAGACATTTCAGTAGAGACCAAACTAGAAGTCCAATGATGTGATATTTTGGTTATCAACAAAATACAGCAGTAGCAAGACCTTTGTCTGTTCTTACGGGTTGTGTCAGAGCTGGAGGGAAGCCCCTGGAAGTAAGCTTTCTGACCACCTGTAGGAACTGACGGGGTCTGTCAGATGTTACAATATCTAAAATAGTTTAATGTGTTACTAGATATTTAATGTTAATTGGAATCCCTTTATGAGGATTTCTGTTTATAAATTTCTTTTTTTGGATATTAGTTCGTTAGAGCTAATTTTTTTCCTGAGGTTCTTTAAGTCTAAATAAAATTTGTTGGATTTTCTTAGAATCTATGTATCATGCAAAGAGGATTTATCCTAAGTGTGTATTTTTCTTCAGTGGTTCACTGTTGCCTTCTGGGTGAATAATACAGCATTTGCATTTGGTTTTAGAACATTAGCAGTGTTGTGGCTGCATTTTCCGACCTTCTTCACGTCCGAATCCCTAACAGCTATGAGGTTAGCAGTGCTCCAGATGTCCCATCCATGGGTTTGGTCA
Source organism: Homo sapiens (assembly GCF_000001405.40). Taxonomy (NCBI): domain Eukaryota; kingdom Metazoa; phylum Chordata; class Mammalia; order Primates; family Hominidae; genus Homo; species Homo sapiens. The sequence goes on along the minus strand of NC_000007.14, from coordinate 152,152,848 downwards.
GTAGCCACAGAATCAACCCGGGTTTGGAGTATCGACAGCATTTACTTCTCCGTGGGCCTCCGCCAGGATCTGCAAACCCTCCCAGATTAGTGAGCTCTTACCGGCTGAAGCAGCCTAATGTACCATTTCCTCCAACAAGCAATGGTGAGCTAGTGAGCTTTTTGTTAACCCCAAATCCATTCCTGATTCAAAAGTTAAGCTTACTCTTTGAGATACTGATTATCTTTTAACAACGGACAGGTAACATGCTGGCGTATAGTCCTTGGTGAACTTACCATGTGTGGGTGTTCTGTTTTCTGTGCTGTGATTTTGACCTCTAGTGCTTTGGCCTGTGTATTCTGTCATGCTGTCACCAGGGGCTATGTGAGTGCCAGCCATCTGTGCAGGCTGCCAGAAGAAGCCTGTGACGGGCTTGCCCTTGAGCAGCTTTTGTTCTTCCTGTCTCCCAACCCCCATCCCGCTGCACCTGGGCCACCTGGTACAGATGGGGCTGGTGACCTGACGTGGGTTCTGTTTCCTGTTCTCCTCTGCTTTCCATCCTCACCTACCTCTTGTTTTACCTCTGCACCAGCTCTATAGGGCCCTTCTCTTCCCACAGAGGTGTTCATGCCCCCCATCTCTGAGAATGGAACAACTTCCTTAGACCGACCATGATGTCGCTTTCCTTCCTGCCTCACTGGCAATCTTACAGGCGTGCTCAGTCCAGGCCCTGGCTTCCTCCTCTTGGCTTCTAGCTGTTCTGTCACTTTTTCCCTGCTCCTTTTTGCCTTCACACTGCACCTGAATGATGCTTTCTAATTCCTGAGTCCTTATTTACCTTCTTATCCTTGGCCTTGGCTCTTTCCTCATTTCTGACTCTGCAAGTCACACTTATTTAAGACTCTTATACATATGTCATTGTATCTTTCATAAAATGTTTTTTTACCATCTTAACCTGCAAGCAAAAGTAATATCTGTTTCCCTCTCTGTCTTACTTTGTACTTAGACTGAATAGTAATCTCTCTTGGTGACTTAGTTTTATTAGATTCTTCTTTTATACTGCCATTGCTTTCCCAGCTATTTGAGAATAGGCATGTTTCTTTATTTTTGCCCTAGTGTCAGATAATCGACTCTGTAACCATTGCTTAGAAGATAAATTTTTTTTATTAATTAAAGAATAATGTTAATGAACCATGTTGTAATGAGTTGATACTGCATAATTTTTCACCATGTGCCACCTTGTGTCATCAGTCAGTTTTAATTACTAACAAAAGTTGATTGCCTTTAGGTCTTTCTGGATATAAGGATTCTAGTCATGGTATTGCAGAAAGCGCAGCACTCAGACCACAGTGGTGTTGTCATTGTAAAGTGGTTATTCTTGGAAGTGGTGTGCGGAAATCTTTCAAAGATCTGACCCTTTTGAACAAGGTACTTTGCTACTCCTTTTATGACCCCACCTCCTACCTCCAGCGAAAATGTCCTTGGCAGTGTCTCTTCCAACATCAGAGAGAGACACCACTTATGGTGGTGTGATGGACACATGTTCCTGGTGATGGCACCAGCGTATATCAGATGTGCTTGGGCTGAACACCAAAGAGCTACAACAGGCTGTTAAAGGGAATATTATGAGGACTACGTATTTTTAAATAGAGTGAACCGTGGACCACATAGTTTGGTTTTATACATGTATTTTTTCCCTAGCTAAATTATCACATGCTAAATATTGGAACATAGTTTCCTTTCTACTATTAAGATAAAGAACCACTGTCACTTTTGAATATAACATAAAAATAATGTATAGATCCTGTTTTTATTAAATTTTGACTTGTTGAGATTCCCACACATTTCTCTTTGCTTTTCAGGATTCCCGAGAAAGCACCAAGAGGGTAGAGAAGGACATTGTCTTCTGTAGTAATAACTGCTTTATTCTTTATTCATCAACTGCACAAGCGAAAAACTCAGAAAACAAGGTGAGATTAGGATAATCTCAGCTGATAACAATGTGTAACGAGTGACTTCTGTGTTCTGGGCATATGGGAGTGAATAAAGATGTGTCCCTGCCTTCATGGAGCTCTGTGTGGGGAATCCAAAGCAGGTGCTGACCCGGCAGAGGAGGAGAGGGTGTAGGGAGCCTTGAGTCGTGCTACTCTTTCAACTTAGTTATTTGACAGAAGTGGGCAGAGTTATGTTTTAAAAGTTCAGTAAACAGAACACTAATATTAAAATCTTTAATTTTACCAGTTTAATTTTTTTTTGAGATGGAGTCTCATTCTGGTCCCACAGGCTGAAGGGCATTGGCACCTCTTGGCTCACTGCAGACTCTGCCTCCCAATTCAAGCAATTCTCCTGCCTTAGCCTCCTGAGTAGCTGGGATTACAGGTGCGTGCCACCACGCCCAGCTAATTTTTGTAGTTTAGTAGAGATGGGGTTTCACCATGTTGGCCAGGCTGGTCTCAAACTCCTGACCTCGTGATCCGCCCACCTCAGCCTCTCAAAGTGCTGGGATTACAGGTGTGAGCCACTGCGCCCGGCCGTAAATATCTTAATATTTTAAAATCATTTTTATTGATGTTACCCCAATAGGAAAACCTGTTTAAAGATAAAATTTAAGACTATTTGTGCATTTTAAGAGAAAACACTTTGCTCACAGTATGGTGAAAGAGGTCTGCTTTACTTGATTTTATGTAATTTGAGTGTGTCCAACTAATGGTTGATACAAATGATATGTTTATAATCATGTTTTGAAGGAAGCTTTTCCTGTACAGTAATACTGCCAGTCATTCCTCCATCCAGGTTATTGCTCTGGTATGTCTTTCACAGAAGAACATTCTGAAGACTTATTTTTAACAGGTAGTTGTTTGTAGTATGCCTGTAATAAAATCTAGGCTAGATGACAAATAAATTTAGATCTTAAAATACATCAGCCTAAATGCAAGAAGGATTTTTTTTTTCACCAGATAGTTTAAGTTGGTGTGCAGTCCCTGCCTGATTTGGTATAAGGCATGTCTTTTTTCAGATACCTTGTCAGGATTGGGGCATGTGAAAAGAGGGCAGCCTGTGGGTTGGTGTTTATTAGTTTATGATACTCTGTACCATAAAGTAAATAAGCTATTGGAGATTTCCCCTCAGCTCAACTGTTTCAGCAGCCGGATCAGAGCTGAGAAGCCTCAGAGAAAAGTTAGTATGATTCATTTGTTGACAGGGGCTCCTTCCCTTTCTGTAACATTTACACCAATTGATTAAGGCTGAGATTAACAGATGTGAATTTTAGAGTGGAGATAAGCTCTCAAGAAACGATGCTGCAGCGTTCTTATTTGGTTAAACAAAAAACACTGTTCCATTGTACAAATTATATTAGCTCTTCTGACAGCATTGTGAGTGTGTGTGTGTTTTTTCTTTTTCTGGTTTTAATATAGTTAGAAAGGGGATTGTCCCAGAAAGTGTAAGAGCAGAATATTCTCCAGAATTATGGCTTTGTGGAAAAGGCCTCGAAAGGACGCGGCACAGCTGCCATCACCCGCTCTCTATCCCTGTGCACCTTAGAGCATGGTCAGCTTCTGCGGTGCATGAGCCCCCAGCACTTACTGCTGACTCTCCCTCTGCCCCTCAGGTCACCCATCCTCTTCAGTCATACTGCTCAGCTTCTTGTCTTAACAAGAATTGCTTTCCGGGCTTGTGAATTATTTTTCTTTGTCATGGTTTCTTTATGTTGCCCAGGAATCCATTCCTTCATTGCCACAATCACCTATGAGAGAAACGCCTTCCAAAGCATTTCATCAGTACAGCAACAACATCTCCACTTTGGATGTGCACTGTCTCCCCCAGCTCCCAGAGAAAGCTTCTCCCCCTGCCTCACCACCCATCGCCTTCCCTCCTGCTTTTGAAGCAGCCCAAGTCGAGGCCAAGCCAGATGAGCTGAAGGTGACAGTCAAGCTGAAGCCTCGGCTAAGAGCTGTCCATGGTGGGTTTGAAGATTGCAGGCCGCTCAATAAAAAATGGAGAGGAATGAAATGGAAGAAGTGGAGCATTCATATTGTAATCCCTAAGGGGACATTTAAACCACCTTGTGAGGATGAAATAGATGAATTTCTAAAGAAATTGGGCACTTCCCTTAAACCTGATCCTGTGCCCAAAGACTATCGGAAATGTTGCTTTTGTCATGAAGAAGGTGATGGATTGACAGATGGACCAGCAAGGCTACTCAACCTTGACTTGGATCTGTGGGTCCACTTGAACTGCGCTCTGTGGTCCACGGAGGTCTATGAGACTCAGGCTGGTGCCTTAATAAATGTGGAGCTAGCTCTGAGGAGAGGCCTACAAATGAAATGTGTCTTCTGTCACAAGACGGGTGCCACTAGTGGATGCCACAGATTTCGATGCACCAACATTTATCACTTCACTTGCGCCATTAAAGCACAATGCATGTTTTTTAAGGACAAAACTATGCTTTGCCCCATGCACAAACCAAAGGGAATTCATGAGCAAGAATTAAGTTACTTTGCAGTCTTCAGGAGGGTCTATGTTCAGCGTGATGAGGTGCGACAGATTGCTAGCATCGTGCAACGAGGAGAACGGGACCATACCTTTCGCGTGGGTAGCCTCATCTTCCACACAATTGGTCAGCTGCTTCCACAGCAGATGCAAGCATTCCATTCTCCTAAAGCACTCTTCCCTGTGGGCTATGAAGCCAGCCGGCTGTACTGGAGCACTCGCTATGCCAATAGGCGCTGCCGCTACCTGTGCTCCATTGAGGAGAAGGATGGGCGCCCAGTGTTTGTCATCAGGATTGTGGAACAAGGCCATGAAGACCTGGTTCTAAGTGACATCTCACCTAAAGGTAACGTCTGCCGTTCACATGCTGTGCAGTGCTACTTACTCTGATGTCAGGCTAATGAATGTATTTTGTCAATTTTCCATGTTTGTCTCATGTTAGTTTTATATTTTATAATGTGTATTTTTCATTTACAAATGCCAATGTTTGTGTTCTCACACCTTGCTCTCTTTGCTATACAGTTGTCTAAACACTTTCATAATCAATATATCTTTGAACATACGAGTTGGTGAGGTAAATCCGAGAATGATTTGTAGATAAAGGTTGCCTGTCATTTGCATTGGGGACCTCCTTTTTCTTTTTCTTTTTCTTTTTTTTTTTTTTTTTTTTTGAGACGGAGTTTCTCTTTTGTTGCACAGGCTGGACTGCAATGGCGCGATCTCAGTTCCCTGCAACCTCCGCCTCCTGGGTTCAAGTGATTCTCCTGCCTCAGCCTCCCGAGTAGCTGGGATTACAGGCTTGCGCTACCATGCCCGGCTAATTTTTATATTTTTAGTAGTTTTTAATTTTGTATTTTTAGTATTTTAGGGTTTCAGCATGTTGGCCAGGCTGGGCTCAAACTCCTGACCTCAGGTGATCCACCTGCCTCAGCCACCCAAAGTGCTGGGATTACAGGTGTGAGCCACCGTACCTGGCAGGGACCCCCTTTTTCTTAAAGTCAGTTTCTAGAAGGCAGGAATGACATCTAAATCATACTGTATACATTGTCATAAGACAATGTATAGGAACATCAGATATTACGTAAGTTTAGAGATGGAAATTAAACACTTAGTTTGGACCTCCATGGTTAAGTCTAGATTGTCACTTTTGCTTATGTAGAAAGTACACAAACAAAAGTATGTGGAGCTGCTTTCTTAAGTTTAGCACTTAAAAAAAAAAAGTCTGAAAATACTCTAAAGATAATTCCAAAGAAAATATCAATTTAACATTTTAATTTAAATCTGAGGGGAAAGGAACATAGCTATAGACATTACCAATTAGACTAATCATTTTAAAATCTGGTATGTTATATGGCCACTATGAAAGTAAATGAACTGTTTGCATGAATTTCAGTTACATTAAGTTTTTTCACTTTAATGTCCTTAATCTATTATTTTCCCCAAAATTTAGGTCTTTAAAAAAAATTGCTGCCATTTAATAAACAGGTTCATTAGATTATTACCAAACAGATTTATTAGATTATTGCCCAACAGGATTTATTTGGAAATTAGTAAATCCTTGTGAGTGGTTATTCTTCATTTTGCTCTTGTTTTTTATACTGTATCCTATTTCCTATAAAAATTATGTTTTTGTCCCTGTGTAGGTGTCTGGGATAAGATTTTGGAGCCTGTGGCATGTGTGAGAAAAAAGTCTGAAATGCTCCAGCTTTTCCCAGCGTATTTAAAAGGAGAGGATCTGTTTGGCCTGACCGTCTCTGCAGTGGCACGCATAGCGGAATCAGTGAGTGTCTTGGTCAGGCTTTGAGATTGGAATTGCTTTCCTGATTCAGTGTGACCACTTGAACACATGCTGTAACATTTGTGGCACTCTTCAGAAAGTGACTGAGCCTGTGCATTAACCCGTTTCTCTTAGAGGAATAAGGCATTGGTGATTAATCGGGAGAGCTCAGCCGTGTTGGTATTCACCCAGTTGAGGTAGTTAACCAACTTCAGGTTCTCTTCCAGGCTGGAGGCAAGCAGGGGTGAAGGACACCAGGCTTGTCACATCTTCTGGGTGTGCTGGATGGGTGAGGACACTCTCCTCTTCCCTTGCCTTTCTGAAGTTTCTCCCACCTCAGAATGTCAGTGTGCCCATTTCCTGACACTTGGGTATTTATGGCCACTCTCCTGCCCTCTTCCTAGGATGAAGTCACTAGAGGGCAGTAGATCGCAGCAGCACTGATTTCTGTCCTCTCTTGACATTTCTTTGCTTAAAAGATTACAAGCCTGTTTGTCAGTGAGTCTAACTGAACCATATCTACACAATAGTTTTAGAAAATTGTATGATTCTAAGGCATTGTTTTCAAGAATAAAAATATCATTGGTGTGTTTTCTTTGGACAGGCAGAGGAAACCCCAAAAGCCACTGAGTAATGTGCCTAATTGTTTTCTTTGGAATCGCCCTGCCTAAATGATACTTATCTTTTATGACTACAGAGAAATAAATTTCACAAGCAATGTATTCCAGAAAAGACCTTTAACATGTAAATGACTTTGAGTAAAGCTTGAGTTAACACCTATGCTTTATGCTCCCAGGACATGGAGAGCGATAACCTCATCACATCAGAGTCAAATTGAAAGGAGTGAGAAACGATCAAGAAAGAAACCATATAGATGATTTTTTAACTGTTTTTAATTGTAAAATTCCAGACAGAGATATAAAAGTTGGCATTAATACAGGGGAAAGAACTCAATGCGAATCATTACATGCCCTGTGTTTGTGGGTATTGTGTGTTTCAGTCAGGCCCTGAAATCACACAAGCGTGTATATTGGTCAGCCAGTGTTTGTTGCATGGGCTAATCTTTTTCTTCAAGGAGCATTTGGCAGGGTTTACCTAAGTTTGGCTTTGAAACTGAATTTGCATACTCATATTTAAGTAGATCTACCTGCAGGCCAATAGTGTTAACATAAGCTAGAAGACCATTTTATTATCGGGGAAAACGCTGATGAGTTATTTCTGTCGTGGGCCATCCTTTGACCAGCTTGAGATTGTCTGTAGTCTCCATCAGATGGGGTGACTTTGTGTCTGCTTTGCTTCTTTTCAGCTTCCTGGGGTTGAGGCATGTGAAAATTATACCTTCCGATACGGCCGAAATCCTCTCATGGAACTTCCTCTTGCCGTTAACCCCACAGGTTGTGCCCGTTCTGAACCTAAAATGAGTGCCCATGTCAAGAGGTTTGTGTTAAGGTATTTTGTTTTAACTTCACATAGTACAGCCCAGGGTTTCTAGGCGTATTAGTGGTTTCCTGTGCTTGATTTGTCTGCTGCTTACAAACCCTGCTGTCTGGCTGTGTATGTGCCCAACTACATAAGAGAACTCGCCGTGTGTCTCTGCTAGGCAGCTTTCCATGTATGTTTCTGTCAGTAAGAATCTGAATTAACCTGGTTTTGGGCATTACTCAGAGGTATCTTCAGTTTTCCTTGTATTTTTTTCCTGTTGATATGCCATTGTCTGCAGGCCTCACACCTTAAACAGCACCAGCACCTCAAAGTCATTTCAGAGCACAGTCACTGGAGAACTGAACGCACCTTATAGTAAACAGTTTGTTCACTCCAAGTCATCGCAGTACCGGAAGATGAAAACTGAATGGAAATCCAATGTGTATCTGGCACGGTCTCGGATTCAGGTGAAGAAATACTTTGTGTACAGGAAGTGGAGAGACAGGGTGGAGTCTAGCAATCTGAAGCTATTGATGTCCAGTATGTGAAAATGATTTCACATAGCTGCAGGGACAGAAACGTGTTTTCAAAATCGTATCAAATCCTGTCCCTTGGTAACACTAGGGATTTAATATGTAGTCTTGGGACTTGGTGATTGGCTTCCCCAAAGGGAAAGCAGACCAGTGGAATCCACATCTTTGCATCTTGTTGAGAGCTCCTGGGAGGCAGGTAGCATTGTAATTTGCACACACTGGATTTGTGGAGTGCTCAGTAGAGCTGTTTCAAGCACTTGAGAGAAATACAAATGAAAATATTTTCCAAAGGTACACCAATTTTGGAAGTTACCTTATCTTTTGGAAGCTACCGTTTCATGAAATCAGTGCATGTTTTTTGGTAGACTGTGGACTATCTTACAAGTAAGGCCGTGTATAGGCTAAGCATTTAAGTTTACACCTATAGTCCATACTTCCTGAGCTGCAGACCCAAATATCCAAATGCCTGTTCAGCATTTTTCTCCTTGGATGTCTCAGAATGGAATTACAAAGCTCTTACTTTGTCAAACTTGTCCAGCTCCTAAACCCCGCCATCCTACAAGCTCCTTGCTGAGTGATGTTACCGTTTGTGTACATTGGCCTCAGTACTGCCAGATTAAACCTAAAGCATCATCGAGTTCTGTTTTCTCCTAAAAATTCTCTCAGATCCACTCTTAGGTTTACCAGCCCTATCTTGAGCCACATATCACTTGCCTGTACCACTGCAGGCCTGGCTGTCTCCTCCCATCCAGTTCCCTCTCAGCAGCCAGCAAAGTATCTTTACCCTATAAACTGGATCAGCGTTCCTTTGTCTATACTCATTCAGATTCTTGTTCCTTTGTTGGAACCCTTTTACTCCTCACTAGAAGTTTGTAGGATCTTCTCTTTATTGATATTTGGACATTTCACAGAACTACACCTCAGTGGAGGTCTTTTTGTTGATTGCTTTCCTCCCTTGATGAGCCCTTTCAACCTGGAGCATCGTGACCTTCCGTCTGAGAAATGTGTTTTGTATTCATTCTTTTGCAAGTTCTGCCCCTCTGTTTCCTCTGTGTTTGCACTAAAACCCCTGAGATTCAGGATCTCACAGTGTGGACCTGAGACTAGAAGCAGCAGTGTCACCTGGGAGCTTGTTAGGATGTGCAGGTTCGGGGGCCCCAGCCCAGCCTCACTGAATCCAGCTCTGGAGGTGGGGCCTCCTGGATGATTCTCATGCATGTCAGAGAGTAATTTCTGTCTTATATCCTTTCTCCCCTTCTGTTCTTTGTTTCCTTGTCTCTCTGTTCTTTCTGAGACTTCCTCTACTTTATCTGCTAATCTTTCTTGTCTATTTTTAGAGATTAGCTACGAGCCCTTTCTGCTCTTGATCTTGTTTGATATTTTGTTTTTACATTATGAGTGGAGTATCTGTGTTTTCTCTGCTGTTGCCCCTCTCTGTTGAGCCTCTCTCGGATTCTGTGGGTGAATTAGTGCTTTGCCTCTACTCCTTCCAGTTCTAGCTTTCCCCTGCTAAGTCAATTACTTTTCATTTTAAATAGTCCATTCACTCTTATACCCATTCGTGTTCTCGAGGAGTGTGCTTTTACTGTGATTTTAGTGGGTATCTTAACTGTGTTCAACCTGTCACCTTTAACCTGAAGCATTTTTGAGAGCTCTGGTTTCTGTCTCTTTACTTATTTCATCCTGCCACCCTCCCATCTGTCCACCTCCCTGGGGATCCCGTGGATGATCTAATATGTATCCTGTTTTTCTGTGCTAATATCTTAGAACTATATACACTTTTATGTACATATATAAAAATGGAATCATGTTATATTTATTTTTCTCCGTCTTCCTTTTCTCTGTAATAATCAGAGGTCCCTCTCGATCAACTGACGTAGCTTCATTTCATTCTTTTGAATGGTTACCTGATGTTCCATAGTGTTGATGAACTGCAGTTAAACCATTGCATTACTGATGAGTGTGTATTTGATTTATAATTTTTCTCATAACAAACAGTGTTGCTATATCTTGTACAAATATCACAATGAATTAATAGTTTCACTCCTATGGGGTATATTCCCAAACGTGAGGTTTCTGTGTAAAAGCGTGTGTACTTTTCATTTAAATAGATATTGCCAGTTTTCTAAAAAGTCTCTTACTGCACACTTCTTCCTGCAGCATGTGAGACTGTTTTCTTGTTTCCCATTTGTAGCTGGTGTTACTATTTTTTTGTTTAGTTGGTCTGATAAATATAGACTGATGTTACCTTAATTGAATAGGCAGCTTTTCATGTCCGCCATTTGGATTTGCTTTCATAGGAATTGCGTATTCATATCCTTTGTCCATTTTTCAATTTTTAGCAGTTTACACTATTCAGAATTTTCCCCTACAAAATATCCTTTGCCTACCAGCAAGTGTGACATCTTTTTTCTTGTAAAAGTTACTGTTTATATAAACAAACATACATAATTTTCTGTTGCATCTAGTCTTGGTCAAGACCCTAGATTATATACGGATTCTAGAGGTTTTCTTGCATAACATTTTTAAAATACAATTTCGCTTTCTTCCATTGGATAACCAGTTGTTGAAGGGCCATTTAGAAGTAACCCACTCATTTTTAACTGATTTTCTTTCTTCTTCTTTGAGACAGGGTCTCACTGTGTCGCCCAGGCTGGAGTGCGGTGGCACAATCTCAGCTCACTGCAGCTTCGATCTCCTGGGCTCAAGCGATCCTCTTACCTCAGCCTCCTGAGTAGCCAGGGCTACAGGCGCATGCCACAATACTTGGCTAATTTTTAAAAATATTTATTTAGAGATGAGGTTTTGCCATGTTGTCCAGGCTGGTCTTGAACTTCTGAACTCAAGCAATTCACCTGCCTCGGCCTCCCAAAGTGCTGGGATTACAGGCATGAGCCCCCGTGGCTGGCATGAATTTTTTTTTTTTTTTTTTTTGAGACAGAGTCTTCCTCTGTCACCCAGGCTGGAGTGCAGTGGCACGATCTCGGCTCACTGCAACCTCTGCCTCCCAGGTTCAAGCGATTCTTCTGCCTCAGCCTCCCAAGTAACTGGGACTACAGGTGTGTACTACCATGCCCGGCTAATTTTTTTTTTTTTTTTAAGTAGAGATGGGATTTCACCATATTGGCCAGGCTGGTCCTCAAACTCCTGACCTTGTGACCCGCCCACCTCTGCCTCCCAAAGTGCTGGTATTACAGGTGTGAGCCACCGCACCTGGCCTTTTTCTTCTAACCCCACGAAATCTTGACTATAAACTGAATTTTAATACCAGTTACTACTGTACGTTAGATTTTCATACATGCAGGGATCTATTTCTCTTTTCTGAGATGGAGTCTCACTCTGTCACCCAGACTGGAGTGCAGTGGTGCCATCTTGGCTCCCAGATTAAAGCGATTCTCATGCCTCAGCCTCTGGAGTCTCACTCTGTTGCCCAGGCTGGAGTGCAGTGGCATGATCTCAGCTCACTGCAACCTCTGCCTCTGGGGCTCAAGCAATTCTCTTGGCTCAGCCTCCCTAGTAGCTGGAATTACAGGCACACGCCACCATGCCCAGCTAATTTTTGTATTTTTAGTAGAGACGGGGTTTCACCATGTTGGCCAGGCTGGTCTTGAACTCCTGACCTCAAGGGATCTGCCTGCCTTGGCTTCCCAAAGTGGTGGGATTATAGGCATGAGTCACCACGCCTGGCCCATTTGGAATCTCTTCATTTCCACTGATCTTGTTTATTCTTAAACCACACTCTATTGATCTCCATACATACTTTTTGTGTGTTCTGGTTCATTCACTTGTGAGTTGTATCTGGAGTAGAACAGATAATCAAAGATGCTTGTTCAGAGGATAAATCAGTTCACATACTAAAGTCTCTCACATGGCCCTTCCCACCATGTGCTCCCGGATGTGCTTCATGAGGATGCAGCTGGGGCAGCACATGGTCCTCCTAGTAATTCCGACTAGAATGCAGTTGATTTCTGCATTCTAGAATTCAGTTCAATTCTAGAATTGCATTCTAGTCTAGTACTTCTGATTCAGTTGCATCTAGTCTAGTACTTTTGCATTCAGTTGCCTTCTAGTCAGAATTAAGTGCAAAAACCCAAAATTGGGACAAGAAAATACAACTATTTATGGCAAAGACCCATATTTTGTTAGTATGTTTCTCTACAAGTTGTGCTACCAACCTGAATAGTGCACCTGGCAGGCCACCAGCACGGGAGTACAAGCTGCGCAGTGAGAGCTGCTTCCATTTCAGCCCGTTCAAACTTCTTTCCCAGCCTCAGAATTTTGTATTAGTGAAAAATTTACCTTCCCCAAGAGCTTCATTTGTTTCCAACATTCCTGATATTTACAGCAGAGTGACGTTTCCTGTGTCTGCTCTTTGCCCTGGCTGCTGGGAAACTCAGAGCCAAGTCTGAACCCTGTTTACAGTATCAGTGATTGGTTATAGTTAGCCTGATTTCTATGTTATTGAATTTATTATGTCTTTTTTGAAATAGTATTGGGGTAAAATAAACACCACAAGTCAATAAGCTTATTTAGTTGGTGGGAACTCAGCTATCTCATCTGGAAGGTTAGATAGCCTAATACATAAGACAGCCAAGCCACAGTACTACTTTATACATAGACTCTAAGAATTTAGTGCTAAAAAAGATGTAGGAATAAGCTAGTGATGGCATAGTTTTAAGTAGTAAAAATGTCCAATTTTTAAAATTTCAGAAAATAGCATATTCAAAAATGATTTGAGTTCAAGTGAAACTTAAGTATGGCTTCTAATAAGACCCGAGGGTGAAACCTTTGTATGAAAAACAGAAAAAAGACTTGTTGTCACATAAATTGGAAGTATGTACACACTTTTTTTTAGGGGCTGGGCCTGTATGCTGCTCGAGACATTGAGAAACACACCATGGTCATTGAGTACATCGGGACTATCATTCGAAACGAAGTAGCCAACAGGAAAGAGAAGCTTTATGAGTCTCAGGTAGGTGTCTGGTCCCCGAGATTGTATACACAGCACCATCATCCTCTCCCTTTCTCCGTGCCAGCCAGACACCCTGGAAGGCAGAATGAAATCTGTCATGCTGCATTCAGCTTTAAACAAAAGCCATATCTGTATATTAGTGTATTTTTATCAGTTGTATCTCTTTCAATTGGTGTTACAGTTTACTTTGATAGACAACTGTAAATTAATGAGCCTGGCTTCACACACAACCTACTGATTCCATGCTTTCCATTCGTGCCATGTAAATGTCATCTGTGCCTAATAGAATATCCACAGTAAGGATGATCAGGCTGCCGTTCCGTTCAGTTTCGACTGAGTCCTCCTGGTGTGGATAGGAACACAGAGGGGAGTTTCAGGTCGACATTGATGACTTACTGACTGACTTTTCCCTCAGAACCGTGGTGTGTACATGTTCCGCATGGATAACGACCATGTGATTGACGCGACGCTCACAGGAGGGCCCGCAAGGTGAGACAGCGAGGAACCTGACGGGGAGTGCTTTTGCTTGTGGGGCCAGTGCTGGTGGAGAGAACACTGAAGCCAAGGGAAAGGCTCTCACGGCAGCCTGGCGGTGACTAAACATTCAGAGCAAATGAGTTGAGAATTTTTATTTAAATGTTATATTTGTGCTTCTAACAATGGGCAAATAGAAATTTAATTAGCAAAAACTGCTTTATCAATAAATGGGAAGTTTTTAAAGCTGCTTCTAGCTGTTTTACAATACAGTTTTCTGACATGGTGGCTTGCAGGTATATCAACCATTCGTGTGCACCTAATTGTGTGGCTGAAGTGGTGACTTTTGAGAGAGGACACAAAATTATCATCAGCTCCAGTCGGAGAATCCAGAAAGGAGAAGAGGTAAGAGTGTGAGAGATTGCATCTGCCATGTTGTTCAGATCCTGGGCGAATAGTTCCCTCCTCACACAGGTCACTTACTCACTTGTTTCCCAATTCTTTGTTGTGATAAAAACTCTGTCCATAATAGGCCAGATGTTCCCACCCTGCAGTATCTCACCCTTCAGGCACTCCAGTTCACCTTCCTCCACATGGCAGCTCTGTGAGCATTTGCTGTCACCTCTCCCTTCCCTTCTGTGCCACGGGTTCAGCATCCCCATGGCACCCAGGTGGTATCATTTCTGTGTGCCATAGGATCCTTCTTTATCCCCTTAACCTGGACACAGTTTGGCAGTGTCCCCTCTGAAGAGCATCCCCGTCCTTCTCCAAGGGGGCCGTGGCTCCTGAGATGGCACTGTTGGGCTGTGGGCGGCAAATCTGGGCCGCCGTGCTGCTGAGGATTGTGTGCTCACGCTGGCGATCAGTGTGTGCTTAACCAAGTGCCCACATCGCCACATTCTTCAGCAGTTCAGGTGTGGGTTGTTGTCTTCAAAATGCCGAGTGCCAAGCTTGCTGTTTGTCTCCGTGCTCTCAGAGGTGACTCTGGTCCGGCGGCTCACCCATTGGGATTATTTTTGGCCTTAATTGCTGCATTTGCTTCCCACCTTGGTCTTTCCCACTGTGATTCAGGTACCTTGGTTCTGGAATTGGCATTTCCTGGAAAGCTGTCACTGAGCAGCAGGCTTGGTTTCTGTAGGAAACGTCCCGCATTTGGGGAGTGAGGCACCTGAGTGACTTGACTTTGTTGGTGCTCCTCTCCCTTCGTGAACATAGCCATGGGATTCGTGGGATTCTATCTGTATTTTGGGTCTTTGTGGAATCTCCTTTCTTAGTCAAGAATAAGGATCCGACTAGACCCAAGGCCCGTTATACATCTCAAAGTAACGTGTAAATAAGACAGTGTGTGGGAGCCCTGGCACAGTGCCAGTAACCAATGGCTACCATGGTGGTCAGAAGAGACTCAGCCCAGGGCCACCTGCCTCCTTCCTACTTGAGTATTCTTGAGTAAATAGTTTAATATGAGCCCCTATTTTATCTTCTGCAAGATAGAGAAAATGACTTCCTTACCAGGCTCTTGGAAGGACTCAGCAGATACCTGAAAGAAAGCAGTGGAATCATTGCCAAGAACAGCTGCTCAATAAACACTGGTTTCCTTCCTTTCTGTGTAGAAGGTCTTTCCAGCTAGCGTCTAGAATCATTTCACTCAGAAGAGACCTAGAAATTCCTGGGCCTCCCCTTCATTTTGCAGCATCGGCTCTCTCTGGGGTGGTGGGGGTTGCAGGGCCGCGCACTGAGGCTTGTACCGTGGGACTCACGCAGACTCCCACCTACCTTGATTGGTCTGAGATGTTAATTTGGTGACCTCTAAATAGAAAGACATCCTTTCAGTCTTGAGTGAGGAAAAATGAAGGAGGGAAAACAGAGTTAGCTGGCAGTTCATCTCACCCAGAATTGCATGCCCCATTCAGTAAATCAGGGGAGGTGAAAGGCTTCTGGGTTTTAGGGAGAGGGCTAGGAAAGCAGTTGCCCTTCCAGTCCCCTCCATCCACTTGCAGGGACAGCATTATGAGAAGTCACAGAAATACAGCTTTCTCTGGTCAGGCTCCCGTTCTCAGATCTCGCTGTTTAAAAATACTGCCTCCCTCATTTCCTCTGTGCAAGCACAATGCCTCTTTTCAGGGTTCCCCCAGGGTCCCATGGAACCTCAATAAATCAGGTCTTCCTTAATTTACGTCTGTTTCGTTTGCTGGTTTTAAAATGCAAGGGAGATGGAGGCAGAAACGCTATTGCCTTCCTTGCTGTCCTTTCTTACCCTGTGTCTTTGCCGTGGGCAGCTCTGCTATGACTATAAGTTTGACTTTGAAGATGACCAGCACAAGATTCCGTGTCACTGTGGAGCTGTGAACTGCCGGAAGTGGATGAACTGAAATGCATTCCTTGCTAGCTCAGCGGGCGGCTTGTCCCTAGGAAGAGGCGATTCAACACACCATTGGAATTTTGCAGACAGAAAGAGATTTTTGTTTTCTGTTTTATGACTTTTTGAAAAAGCTTCTGGGAGTTCTGATTTCCTCAGTCCTTTAGGTTAAAGCAGCGCCAGGAGGAAGCTGACAGAAGCAGCGTTCCTGAAGTGGCCGAGGTTAAACGGAATCACAGAATGGTCCAGCACTTTTGCTTTTTTTTCTTTTCCTTTTCTTTTTTTTTTGTTTGTTTTTTGTTTTGTTTTTCCCTTGTGGGTGGGTTTCATTGTTTTGGTTTTCTAGTCTCACTAAGGAGAAACTTTTACTGGGGCAAAGAGCCGATGGCTGCCCTGCCCCGGGCAGGGGCCTTCCTATGAATGTAAGACTGAAATCACCAGCGAGGGGGACAGAGAGTGCTGGCCACGGCCTTATTAAAAAGGGGCAGGCCCTCTAACTTCAAAATGTTTTTAAATAAAGTAGACACCACTGAACAAGGAATGTACTGAAATGACTTCCTTAGGGATAGAGCTAAGGGATAATAACTTGCACTAAATACATTTAAATACTTGATTCCATGAGTCAGTTTATTGTAGTTTTTGATTTCTGTAAAATAAGAGAAACTTTTGTATTTATTATTGAATAAGTGAATGAAGCTATTTTTAAATAAAGTTAGAAGAAAGCCAAGCTGCTGCTGTTACCTGCAGAACTAACAAACCCTGTTACTTTGTACAGATATGTAAATATTTTGAGAAAAAATACAGTATAAAAATAGTTATTGACCAAATGCTACCAGGCTCTGCAGCAGCTCGGGGGCTTATAAAATGTTCATAGGGATGTTACAATATAATTTTGTGTTATAAAATATGCCATTATAATTATGTAATAACCAAAATTTCAACCTAGAGTGTTGGGGGTTTTTTGGAAACCGCAGTCTATTAGTACTCAATGGTTTTATACACCTTACTTCTGACAGAGCGGGGCGTATGCTACGACTACAACTTTTATAGCTGTTTTGGTAATTTAAACTAATTTTTTCATATTATATTGTTGCATCCCTACTTCTTCAGTCAGGTTTTTTTGTGCTTACAATTTGTGATAACTGTGAATAACTGCTTAAAAATACACCCAAATGGAGGCTGAATTTTTTCTTCAGCAAAAGTAGTTTTGATTAGAACTTTGTTTCAGCCACAGAGAATCATGTAAACGTAATAGGATCATGTAGCAGAAACTTAAATCTAACCCTTTAGCCTTCTATTTAACACAAAAATTTGAAAAAGTTAAAAAAAAAAAGGAGATGTGATTATGCTTACAGCTGCAGGACTCTGGCAATAGGGTTTTTGGAAGATGTAATTTTAAAATGTGTTTGTATGAACTGTTTGTTTACATTTCTTTAATAAAAAAAACACTGTTTTGTGTTTGCTTGTAGAAACTTAATCAGCATTTTGAACCAGGTTAGCTTTTTATTTTGTACTTAAAATTCTGGTACTGACACTTCACAGGCTAAGTATAAAATGAAGTTTTGTGTGCACAATTCAAGTGGACTGTAAACTGTTGGTATATTCAGTGATGCAGTTCTGAACTTGTATATGGCATGATGTATTTTTATCTTACAGAATAAATCAATTGTATATATTTTTCTCTTGATAAATAGCTGTATGAAATTTGTTTCCTGAATATTTTTCTTCTCTTGTACAATATCCTGACATCCTACCAGTATTTGTCCTACCGGGTTTTTGTTGTTTTCTGTTCTGTATAATAGTATCTAATGTTGGCAAAAATTGAATTTTTTGAAGTATACAGAGTGTTATGGGTTTTGGAATTTGTGGACACAGATTTAGAAGATCACCATTTACAAATAAAATATTTTACATCTATAAGAGCTGCCTAGAGCTTCTGTGTTAACTCCTCATATTCAAATTTGAGCTCTTAAATTGAGGATTGTCTGAAGTTCACTGACCATCTGATAGATCTTTCACAATTAGAGTGTTGATGCGATCAACTTGGTTTTCTTAGATTTTCAAATAAGTTTAGATGTAAATTCATAATTCATTCTAATTATGATACTTTTTCCTTCCCTTCGACTGAATAAAGAAGGGAACTTCTGTATCTTTTTAGGGTGTTTACCAAATTTAGAATATCCTTGGTGCCTTGTTCAAAGCCTGTTTTTGTTTAATTGGTAAATTTAGTCTTGGTTATGTTGCTGTTTTTTTTTTTTTTTTTTTTTTTTTGAGGCAGCTTTTCAGACTTTATTCTATGTGGTAGACTTTCTTTCTATCTTATTGAATTATTTAACGTATTAAATATAAAGGGGTTAAGAAAAAAACTGCTCAGAATCCCCTTTAGTTTCTAGGACAGATTTTTAACTGGGACTTCGCTAACACTAAAATAGCCAGCATTCCTAGTCCACCATGGAGCTTGCCTTCTAGTGAGGGGCACGGACAAAAACAGGTGACTTTTTTAGATGGGAGGTGGGCTGGGAGTCCCGTGGGGGCATTCTAAGGAGGCAGCATTTAAGCAAGACCTGAAGGATGAAGAGGAGCTGGGAGCGTGGCAGAGGCTTGCCTGGCAGAGGGGACAACTCATACAGGAGCCTTGAGATCTGAAAGAGGCTGATGCTGCCAGTAACTGAAAGGCAGGTGTGGCTGGGACAGAGTGGCAGGAGGTGAGATGAGAGAAAAGCAAGGGTGAGTGGCGCAGGTTTAGCTCGCGTGGGTCAGCAGGAAGCTGCTGCCGGACGGTGCTGAGTTCCCACTGTGCATAGAGGTGACACGCTGCCCAGAAGAGGTGGCCCGCCTGTGGGCACCAGCGTGTGTACACTGAGGCTGAGTGGGCTCCGTACGAGTCCCAGGAGGAGCAAGGGGTGCCCTGGGCTAGGCGGATGGTCGTGACATGGAGGGAGCTGGCAGCAGCTGAGGTGTTTTGCATGTAGATGGCTCAAACATTTCCCATTTCAAAACCGCCTTGTCTCAAGTCTCTCCTCAGCTTCTCCTATCCTCCTTTGGCCCCATGTCACGTGGAGGCTGCACTGCCCTCTGTCCTAGTCACCAAACAGAAACAAACACACTTAGTCTGATGTGGTGTCCGATGCGGTAGATGATCATCTGGCCATTAGGGTTTCCTGTCTCTGGTGGCGGTGGCAGCCGCTGTCTCTGAAATTCTCTCCAGCCCCTGCTTGTGGAGCAGAACCCTTTCCTGGCTTTCTTCCCACATTGCTGCTTTAATCTTTTCCCTCTAAGGTCTCTACCCCATTCTTTTTTCATCATTAAGGTATGTATTTAATAGTAATCTGAAAAACAGCCTTCGGGAGGCCAAGGCGGGAGCCTCACTTGAACAGGAGTTCAAGACCAGCCTAGGCAACATAGTAAGACCCATCTCTACAAAAAATCAAAACATTAGCCAGGTGAGGTTGTGCGCACCTGTAGTCCCAGCTACTTGGGAGGCTGAGGCAGGAGGATCACTTGAGCCTGGGAAGTCCAGGCTGCAAGGAGCTGAGATTGTACCACTGCACTCCAACCTGGGTGACAGAGCAAGTTCTTGCCTCAATTAAAAGAATAATAACGGAAGCCAGCTCTTCCAGGAAACCATAGCTATGCAGTAATTCATGGCTTCTATGATACTAGTGCATTTTTTATTAGGCTCGGACAGAAACACCACAACTGTCCCACTTCAAATGCCCAGGAACAATGTAGACAAATTCCAAAGAATGGGTTGTTTGCTGTGAACACCATGGAAAGAAAAAAGGCACAGAGTCTGACTTTATCTTTTGGCCCTGAGCCTAGGGCCATCCTGCCCTATTGTAATAGGAAAGGACAGTCTCAACAGCAGAGTCACCAGCACTCCCTCAGCTTCACAGCAATGCAGTAAAGCCCCCGGTGGCCTGTTCCCTGGGGCGCATTGTCACATACACTGGCAGAAGCTTTGAAATGAGAAGTGCTACATTTAAAACATTAAAAATTTAAATATTTCAGTTACGACCATGTAACGAGAGAGACTTAAGGTTCCAAGAGGCAGAATCATGATGTTTTTAACTGTGCTTACTAGACTTAAATGTGTTCCTAGATAAGGCGGCCTCAGCACTTCCATCAGGTTTCCAGCTATGCCTGGGAGGACTCCCGCTCCCATCACCTTCTGGCAGAGTTGAAGAATCCTTTCCCAAATATCTAAAGAAATTGGGTAAATATCAGCAAAGCAAGGTTCTTCTCGTGGGGAGGTGAGTAGACCGACGGTGCCCGTTTGCACAATGTGCTCCGTGCTCCAGCTCAGTGCCCAGCGCCACTCTGAAGTCTCGTTTTCTTCCTGCCGTGCCGTTGACAGCACAGCTTTATGTGTAGTTCCTGGAGGCTCCTTCAAGCGTTCAGGACCTTCTAAAATGGAAGCCATGTTCTACTTGCTAGGAGGGTCAGCTGTCTGCTCATCCCCCGTCAGCCACAGCCTTACTCCAGGTCTCTGGGAATCTTGCATCCCGGCCCTGCTTGCTCCTGTGTCCTCAGACCCCATGGTGGGTCCATCGAGCCCTTCAGGGGCCGAGATCTCAGTGGGACCCTGTCTCTGGTGCCAGGGTTTTGCCTGTGACGTGTCCCAGCTGGTACTACAGACTCTCCATCCACTTTGTCCTGAGGATGCTCCAGCATCCGTCCCGGGGCCAGCGCCCTCGTTGCCTAGAGCAGGCCTGCTTGCGGCTCCCTGTGCAGTTTCTGATGCTCTGTTCCTGCAAGGGTTCTCGTTTTTGAAGACACTACTCCTGGGTCCCAGAAATTCTTTTAACCTAGTTTTTATCCTAACCACAGAAATGTTAAAAGTATTCCTTCTTCCTTGATGGCAACCTTACGAAACTTTGCTTCCTGAAGAACAAGTCGATGCAGGCGGAGCACACGAGGTGTATGACTTCTCAGCGGAGGCCCCACTCATAGGTGACCCCTCCTCCTCCCACTACCCTCCCTCACTCCAGCCCTGCTATTCCCACTGCTGCCAACTCCACAGCCTCAACTTTGTGTGTACGTTTTAAATACTAGCACCCCCCACACTTTTCTCAACTCTTCTCATCCTCTGCTCTCGCCACGCTGACTTCGGCCAAACCTACAACGTAACCCAACATGGTGGGAACAGCGTTCCAGACGCCTCTCTTCTGAGCTCTAGACCCCTGGCACGACCCTGCAGCCTGCCCACTCGGCCCGCAGAAGCTCCACTGCAGAGACTTCATCCTTTTTCTCTTCCCCAGAACCATTCCACCAATATCTCCTCACTCGGAATGGCAGCTACCCGCTCCCAGGCGCCCACACCAGAGCCCCGCGCCATCCTCACGCTCTGCAGCCTGCCCGGCTCAGGGCTTCAATCCAGCAGCCCCAGCCAGGAAGACGCTTCGCTTTCAGAACAGAACGACCTGCTATTCCCTGACCTTGAAATGCATGCGCCTGCCTCGATGCTTCCTAACTGCTGTGCGTTCCGCCGGGACCTCGTCCATCCCAAGGCCGCCTGGCCTGCTCCAGGAAGTTCTCCCGCCCTCTTGCCCGCTGTGGGAGTGCGCAGCCCCGTTCTGTGTTTTCTTGGTACGTGAGTCTATCAGAGCATTTCTCACTTTCATTTCTAAGCTTTCCTTTCACCTGAAGGTGGGAACTTTAGCTTGCAACTATTTCTCCAGCACAAAAGGGAGGGAGGACGGGCAGAATGCAGAGTGCCAGGTGGTCACCTCCCTCCCCGCAATCCCCCCTGCTCTGCTGGGTCCAGAGGGCTGACCCTTCTGGTCTCCTGGCTCTTGCTTCATTTCAGCCAGTGGGAGCTGTGGGGGGAGGCCGGGAGGCAGGACAAGGGACCTGGGTGTTTCTGCTCCTGCTGTCTGGTGGTGGAGCGGCTGCCTGTGTCTAGGCCTACGGCTCCGGACGCTGCTTCTCACCCTTCGGGCTCAGAGGTGGCCGTGCCCCTGAGGCTGCCAACACCGTCATAGTCCCTTCCCTCACAGCTCTTCAAGAAGCCAGAGATGCGCGCCTTCTCATTTCCCTGCGGACCCCCACTCAGACAGGAAGGAAGGATTTTTGGAAACACATACTCTTGATAGCGTAAGTTAATATACTATGTAAAAAATAATGTTATTTGATTAAAACATCCATATTTATAAAGAAAAAACGGGGAAGGAGGACAAAAAGGAAACTGAAAGATGTTTAGGGAGTTTACAATTTTTTCTTGTCAATTTTATGGAGAACATTTTCAGATCTCTAAAGTGAATTACTTTATATTCATATTAATGATATAGTATTTGGGAGCACTTTGGGATTACTTTTAGGAAAGTGGCAGAAATAATACAGAGAGTTCCCATACACTCCTCATCCCGTTTGCCTGATGTTAACTGTGGTGCATTTGTCAAAACTAAGGAATGAACATTGGTCCGTTGCTGTTAACTAACCTGCAGGCTACTTAGGTTTTACCGGGTTTTCCAATGATGTCCTTTTTCTGTTCCAGGACGCGGCTCAGGCACCACGTGGTGCTTGGTCCTCACGTCCTCTTAGCCTCTTCTGGGACACTAGTAATCTGGTAGTTTCTCAGATTTGCCTTATTTTTAGTAACCTTGACCAGTTCTGATTTGACAGTTTCAATCCTCATTATCTTCAAGTTTTCCTGTAATTTTTCTTTTTCTTTTTCTTTTTTTTTTTTTTTTTTAGCACATTGAGCCTATGTGTCAAAGCCGTTTTCAACACCGGCGTGTGCTGATTCCATCCTTTCATTGCTAGGCCTGTTCGTTTTTATTTAAGACTTTTATTAACAGGTGCTTGCAGTTTGTTACTTTTTTGAAAAAATCAAGTTGTAAACTTTTATGACAAATTAAAAATGAAGTTCTTAAAAATCTCAACTTGAGCAGATATGAAATAATTTTAAAACCTTTAAAGGCGTATTGAGAAAAACCAGGCTTTTTAAAAAAACACTTTGTTATTACCAAAAAGAGACGTCTTTAGGTAAAAATAATTGGAAACCCCATGCCCCACAGATAATGCAGCTAGTTCTAGTTATCTGGTCAGTGGACGAAAAGCAAGCACTTAGGGTCTTCAGCTCCAATTTTCGTTCATTTCTTATCGCTGGAATTTCCTAGTTCTTGTTTGATGACTAAACGGGGTGATGGTAGAGGTAGCAGCCGCATTTGCCCAGCCTGGAGCGAGGAATTCTCAGCTGGTGGATCAGCTGCTTCTGTGTCTTTGCCATCTTGTGGTTTAGGGTTTTCTGTGCGACCGCGTCGGTAATCGAAGTTGCGGCGGCCCCGGTGCTGAGGTGGCTGGTGACCTTGGGTCTCATCTCCCGGATTGTCTTTATCCTCTTCCTCGCTGTCCTCTACAGGCCGTCTTGGGTGAGGTGGGTCCTGCGGAATCGTGGTCTGCGTCCCCGGTACACTCGCTGCCCCGCTGGTGTCCCCGCTCCCCGCGCTGTCACCCCCGCATCGCTGCTCCCGGCCGCCCCGGAGGCTGGAGAACTGCGGCCTCCATGGAGGAAAGTGGGACTCTGCGGTGGGGCCCGCGTGGTGGGCCTGGCCCGCGGCAGCGCTGTCTCATCCCTCCTTCCGTTCCCCACGGAGGATTCTGGTGATTCTGCCGGTGACGGCGGGGAGGTCCCGCGTCTGCAGTGGTTACGGTGGCCGCAGGTTTACTGCCTTGACCTGGGCCCCACCAGGCCCTGGAACACTTGCCGCCGCCTCGCCCTTTTCTCCCTCAACATCGGACTCCGCGGCCTCCGCAGCTCCCCCGCCGCCAGGGTCCTCCCCGGGGTTCTCCTTCACGGCAGTCTGATGAACACACATCTTCCTTGGTGACGTTCCTGTTGATGAAACCGTATCTGTTGCTTACCCTGAACCATTTGTTCCCCAAACGGCGGGGGTGACGGTGCCTGGGCTCCTCCCGGGCTGTGGTGGCAACTAGGCCACAGCGGCGGTGGGGCTGCCCAGGGCTCTCTGGGACCCGCTCCCCGCTCCCCGCTCCCGATCGAACTCTCTAGGCCTGTTTAAATCACCTTTTTCTCCCGGTGACGGTTATATATATTTTTTAGACGGAGTCTCGCTCTGTCGCCCAGGCCGGAGTGCACTGGCGCGGTCTCGGCTCGCTGCAAGCTCCGCCTCCCGGGTTCGAGCGATTCTCCCGCCTCAGCCTCCCGAGCAGCTGGGACCGCAGGCGTGTGCTACCGCGCCCGGCTAAGTTTTTCTATTTTTAGTAGAGACGGGTTTTCCCCATGTTGGCCAGGCTGCTCTGGAGGCGATCTGCCTGCCTCGGCCTCCCAAAGTGCTGGGAATCCAGGCGTGAGCCACCGCGCCCGGCTGGTTTCCACCTTTGGAAGCTTGTTCTTGAAGCACTTTTCCGACGAGTCTGACAGCGTCTTTACCCTTGGCCGAGTCCAGCCCCACTCCTAAGGCATGGCCCTTCGGGGAATGCCCTGGGCGCCCCGAATACTCAGTGGGGCCTGTTACTTGGCTGGTGGCAGCTTCAGTGATTTCCAGCCCCACCTGATCTTTGGGAGCTGTTCAGTTTAGAGCCTCCCAGCCTCAGGAGTAAGTTTCCACGGGCCGACTGCAACACGGCTAGACTCCAGGCGCCCCTGGGCAGGTTCTGGCCCTTCTCTCTGTTTAGCTCCTTCCTCTCCTTCATCCTCCGATGCGAATTCCAGCCACCTTAGCCTCCCTGGACTCTGGTGTCCATCTCGACCTGCAGGATGATGGGCCTCTTTTTAAGTTCCCCTCCCTATGCCAAAGTCAGAAAACTGTCCTAGGTGGGGAGAGTCTTGGGCTCACCCGTTTCTGGGGCTTTACTGTCCCGCCACTCCCTGGGAGCCACTGGCTGAAGAGGTTCTGCATGTTTTTCTTTCTAGTCTCTAGTTTTTTACTCCAGGAGGACAAGCCCAGATCCTGTTACTCCTTCTTGGCCAGAAGCAGAACTTGTGTTTTTTGTTTAAAATGTTTCCTTCTTGTCAAATTCTACTTTTTTAAAGGCCTTATTATGTCTTTGCCCCCGTGTTCCTCCTTATCTATTCTTAATTTCTCACACTTCTTGAGTTCTGCCACCACATTCTGAGTTTTCAGATTTGCTGTATTTGGTCCTCTCATGTCACTCTCCTCATAACTTAAGCTCATTTTTGAATCAGTATGTTACAGTTTGGGTCGGTTCTGTGAGCATCTCCTTCTGGAGTGCTTTCATTATACAAATGCCATTTAGCTCTCTTTTTCTTCTTATACTTTGTATGGGACTTGGCCTTGATCGTCTTCTGTTGCTCATCTGGTGGGAACTGAGTTTCTCAACATGGAGGAGCGTGGCCCAGACGGCTTTCCCACGCAGGGGAGCATGGTCCAGATGGCTTTCCCACGTGGGGCAGCCTGGCTCAGACGGCTTTCCCACGCAGGGGAGCATGGTCCAGACGGCTTTCCCACACCGGGGAGCGTGGCCCAGACGGCTTTCCCACGCTGGGGAGCCTGGTCCAGACGGCTTTCCCACACCGGGGAGCGTGGCCCAGACGGCTTTCCCACACGGGCAGCCTGGCTCAGACGGCTTTCCCAGCCTCGCAGAGCTCCCTCTTCTGTTTTCCTGCACTGCTAAAGCTATGGTCACTCCTTCTGCCAATGCTTGGCTTCACTTCCCTCTACTTCTCCAAGCTGTGTCCTTTTTCTTTATTCTTATTCACTTACTACTGTTTCTCTATTATCCCTGTCTTGCTCAATTTTGATTCCACTCCCTGGCAGTTTCATCAGTTCAAAGGAACTAGAAGTCTTCATCCCCTAAGCCCTCCCTCCCCCAGGGACCCCTGCCGCTGCCTAGTGCTGGAGAGGCAGACGCCCCCGCAGTGTTTGCTGCACTGATTCCTCGGTTTCCTGCGGCCACCATTGCCTTTCCATGTCCTCCGCTCCTCAACACACCGTCTGCCTGGAGCTTGCCTGGCTTTCTGCCACACAGGTCTCAGGCATCCAGCTCCTCCTACCTGCTTTAGAGAATTTGCAGCTACCTTGCCACCTACCTACTTTGAAAATACCATCCATGGGTTTTGGGTTTGCCTCTCTAGTTGCTTTAATTTTATGTGGATGTTGACTAGGCAAAATCTGAAAGCTGTGTTGCAACCTTTCCTGCAATTTCCTGAGAAGCCCCCATGTGGGTCTGTTTTATTTCAGCCATTTTAATGGATGTAAAGTGGCATCTGAATGTCGTTTTAATTTGCATTTCTTTGATGACCATGATACTGAACACCTTTTCATATATTGAGCTATTTATACTTTGGTGACATATCCAAATATTTTGTCCATTTTGAAAATTGGGTTGTCTTTTTAGTACTGAATTTTAAACACAAACCCTTGAATACAGTTGTGGCTTTTTTCATTTTCTCAATGGTGTCTTGATAAACAGAAGTTTAATTCTGAAGTTCAATTTGTTAATATTTTATGGCTAGTTCTTTTAAAAAAAAAAAAGTTTTATTAAAGACAGGATCTCACTATGTTGCCCAGGCTGGTCTCTAACTCCTGAGCTCAAGCAATCCTCCCACACTGGCCTCCCAAAGTGTTGGGATTACAGGCATGAGCCACCTGTGCCTGGCCTTTATCTTTTTCAAATAGAGACGGGTTCTCACTATGTTGACCAGGCTGGTCTGGAAACTTCTGGCTTCAAGCGATCCTCCTGCCTTGGCCTCCCAAAGTACTGGGATTGCAGGCATGATCCACCAGGCCTGGCCAATGGCTGGCTCTTTAATGAGTGCTTAGGGAATCTTTGCCTACCCTAAAGTCATGAAGATATTCTCCTACATTTTCTTCTAAAAGCTTTGTAATTTTAGTTTTTATGTTTAGATCTTAAAATAATGTTTATTTGTGGTATAAGGTAGTGGCAGGGGTGTCACAGGTAATTTCTGTCCACAGGGATATCAGATTCTTGCAGCACCATGTGTTATAGTAATTTTCCCCTCCCCACTGCATTGTATTGGCTCCTTTGCTGCAAATCAATTGGCCATATATGTGTGGGTCTATTTCTCTTCCACCAATCAATTCATTATCCGTAAGTCCACAGCATAGTAAGTCGAATTAGTGTAAATCCTCCAACTTTATTTCTTTCAAATTATTTTGGCCACTCTTAGTCCTATGCATTTCCATATCAATTTTAAAATTAAATTATCAGTTTCCACAAAAAGCGTACTGGGATTTTGATTAAAAGTAGCATTAAATCCATAGATCAAATTGTGGAGAATTAACATCTTATTAACACTGAGCCTTCCAATCAGGAATGTAGTATAATTCTCTATTTAATCTTAATTTTTCTCAGCAATGTTTTCTACTTTTCATCATACAACTCTTACACATATTTTGTCATATGTACCCTAAATTCTTATATTTTGGATACTATTGTAAACTGCAATCACAATACCATGAACTTCAGTTTTGAGCTGTTTGTTGCCAATATGAAGTATTCATTTTTATATTGATTTTTTTGTGGTCCTGATAAATAGTAGTTTTGAAGACGTCCTATGATTTTCTGCATTACTTGATCATAGTCTGCAAATAAATACACTTTTACTTATTCCTTCCTAATGTACATGGCTTTCTTTTTCTTGCTGTATTGCGCTGGCTAGGAGAGGTGAGAACAGGTGTCTTTGCCTTGTTGCCTATCATCTTTCACACTGTATGAGGCTAGCTATAGTACCTCCATAGATGCACTGTATGAAGTTGAGGAATTTTCTTTCCATTCCTAGTTTGCTGAGTTTTTATCATAAGTGGGTGTTGAATTCTGTCAATTTTTTTTCTACATTTTTTTCCTGCAAGGTTGCGTATGCCTTTCCCCCTGTATTACTAACAAACACTGTAAATTATCGTAATCAAATCTCTAATGTTAAACCATCTTTGCATTCCTGGGCAAAAACCAAATTGTTCATAATGTATCACCCTTTTTATATGTTGCTGGATTTGATTTGCTAATTTTTGTAAGGAAATTTTTCTATATTCATGTAGGATATAAAAATCGTCTGTGCTCTACCTGCTCATCCCTCCCTCCCTGTGTTAGCTGGGTTCTCCAGAAAAACAGAACCAATAGGATGTATAGAAATACAGAAAGATTATGAGGGACTGAGATACTCTATGATTTACTGCCTGCAAGGTGGAAGCCCAGGAAAGGCAGTGATGTTGTTCCAGCCCAAGGCTGAAGGCTGAGGCCCAGGGGAGCCAATGATGCAGGTCCTGGTCTGAGTCCAAAGGCCTGAGAGCCAGAACGCTGACATCTAGCTCCAAGGAGAGAGCAAGTCACCCTTCCTTCACCTTTTTGTTCTATTTGGGCTCCCAATGGATTGAGTGGTGCCCACCCACATTCGTGAGAGAGGATCTTCTTTCCTGAGTCTGCTGATTCAAACACTAATCTCTTCTGGAACCACCCTCACAGACACTCGCAGAAATCATGTCTTACAGCTACCTGGGCATTCTTTAGCTCAGTCAAGTTGACATAAAATCAACCATCACACTCTCCCATAACCCCTAGCAAGCAGTGATCTTTTTGTCTTTGCCTTTTCCAGAATGCCATATAATTGGAATCGTACAATATGTAGCTTTTTCAGATTGGCTTCTTTCACTGAGTAATATATTCTTAACATCCCTCCATGACTTTTCAAGGCTTATGGCTTAATTCTTCTCAGCACTGAATGTTCCATCGTCTGAATGTACTATAGTTCATCCATTCATGCACTAAAGGACATCTTGCTTCCGGGTTTCGGCAGTCCTGAATGAAGCCGCTATAAAACATTCCTGTACTAAAGGACATCTTGCTTGCTTCCAGGTTTCAGCAATCATGAATAAAGCTGCTATAAAACATTCCTGTACTGAAGGATATCTTGCTTCCAGGTTTCGACAGTCATGAATAAAGCTGCTGTAAAATCCATGTGCAGGCTTCGTGTGGTTTTCAGCTCCTTTGGGTAAACACCAAGGAGCACAACTGCTGGATCATAGGTTAAGAGTATGTTTAGGAAGAAACTTGCCAGAGTGGCTGTACCACTTTGCACTCCCACCAGCAGTGAATCAGAGCTCCTGCTGTTCAGCATGCTTTTTAGTATCTGTAGACTCTAGTGCGCTTGCAACTCATTCCTGATGTTGGTAATTTCAGGGTGGTTTTTTTTTTTGTTTGTTTTTTGTTTTTTTTTGGCTAGAGGTTTATCAATTTTATTGATCTCTCAAATCAGCTTTTAGCTTTATTTTCTCTGTTTTGTTTCATTCATTTCTGTTCTGGTATTTAATATTTCATTTCTGCCTCTTTGTCTAACTTGCTCTTTTTCTGTTAAGATGGAAGCTAAAGTCATTGAGACTTGTATCCTTTTCTAATATAGGTGCTTAATGCTATAAAACTTCCAAGTACTGCTTCAGCTGCATGCCACACACTGTTGTATTTTCATTTTTGGTCAGTTCAAAATAGCCTTTTGATTTTTTTCTCTGACCCATAAGGTATTGGGAAGTGTGCTAGTTTTTTATAATATTTGGAGATTTTTCCAAGTGTCTGTTATTGATTTCTATTCTACTTTGCATGACTTGAATTTCTATACGTATATCACACCTTGCTCAATATCCCAGAATATGGTCTATCTTGGTAAATGTTCCAAGTATTGTGTTGCTGGGTAGTGTCAATTAGGCCAAGATGGTTGTTTTTCTGTCTACTTGTTCTATCAATTATTGAGAGGTGTGTTGAAATCTCTTACTACAATTGTGGATGCGTGTACTTCTTGCAATTTTAACAGAACTTTGGGATTATTTCTTCTTGATAAGTTGAACCTTTTATTCATGAAATGACCCTCTATATCATCTGTAGTAATATTCTCTGTGCTGAAATCTACTTTGTCTATCTATTCAGATGTCTTTCATATATCTATCTTCCCATCCTTCTAATTTTAATGTA
The DNA here is from genome assembly GCF_000001405.40 of Homo sapiens. Lineage (NCBI taxonomy): Eukaryota > Metazoa > Chordata > Mammalia > Primates > Hominidae > Homo > Homo sapiens. Next base: position 152,122,939 of record NC_000007.14, on the reverse strand, counting down.
TTCATAAAGTGAGTTTCTTACAGGCAGCATATAGTTGGATCTTGCATTTTTATCTAATCTGCCTTTTAACTGTGGCATTTACATTCATTACACTTAATGTGATTATTGACACTGTTGGATTTCAATCTGCCATCTTGCTGCTCTTGTTTTCCATATGTACCATCCTGGCCTTTGAAGTCAAATGACAGATAAAATATTTAGGATGTGGCAAACTGTTTTGTGGTTCAGATAAAATATCTGAGTGCATCCCCTGCAATATGAGACCATCTCTCCTCTTAAGATGTGGTTTGGGAGGAAACTTCACTTTATATTTCAGAATTTTTAGTATATGCAGGTGATTCCCAAATGTATTCTCTAATTGAGCTACGTCTTCCAAGAGTCTGACCTCTATATCCAACTGCCGGTTGAGCAGCTCTCCCTGGGTGCTGCACAGGCAACTTTGATGTCCAGTATCTAAGGTCACACAGCTCAAGCTAAGAAACTGGGACGCGTCTTGAGAGGCAGAGGACTCTACCGAGCCTACTGGGTCATCACCTGAATCCAAGAGCATGCAACACACCTCAGACCAGAGGCCCCAATACAAGACAAAATATCCTAAATAATCAAAAGGATTCTTTATTATGTAGATTGTATCATAATTCATCAAAATAATTTTATAATTAACTGCCATACTGTCTTATAAATGATGCCTTCTGAAGTTAAACATAATATAGATTCAGTTTTTTAAAATGATCTACTTACAACATACTAAACAAATAATAGAAGTTTTTTTTTTTTTTAAAGCACTATCTCCTATGAAGTCTAAGAAAGGAAATCATGACAAGTTCCTGATCAGATAAAAACCACTGCATCATTAAAGGGGATTAAAAAGAGGCATAAATAAATCTGAATAGAAATATCCATTTTCCTGGGTTTTATCCTTCTGTACAAGCCCAATTCTAGAGTTAAAATGATACTGTGGTTTGCCTCTATAAGCAAGAAATTCCTTAACAGCAGCTCAAACATCACCTTAATGTCCAGGTGAAACATACTCACTTCTTCACCCGTGGACACTCACTTCTTCACCCGTGGACACTCAGAGCTCCCGTCTCTGTCAGACACGTGTCACCTCTGCTAACACACCCAGGCATCTCCGGGAGGACAGGGAACTGTCATCTTCTCCAAGATGGTTCTGCTCCACCCAACCCAGGCTTTCCTAAAGCCCCAAACTCCACACCGGAGGCAACGCCTGATGAAGCAACGTTCCCACCACAGCATCCACCTTAACCTTCCAAATGCCACTGCTGTGAAGAGGAGCCATCGCAGATCGCCATGGCGACAGAGCCCTTCTGACCCAGGGGATCCACTGCTCTCAGGCACTGTCCAACCGACACCTGGTATAGCCGATTGTTTTTCTGAAAAAAAGGTAGCAACAAAAAAATACTGCCAATTACTGGCAAAACATGGAAATCCAGAGGAGAGATGGAGCACTTAAGAATTCAGATTAAGGGATACAATAGTCCCCTCTTAGCCAAAGGTTAGTTTTCTGCTGTTTGTTATCTGCAGCACAATACAATAAGATATTTTCTGACCGCAATCACAATTTGTATTATAGTATACTGATTTGTTTTTATAGAGAAAACAAACAGGCTGTTGGGCTACGGCGATCCGCCCACCTCCGCCTTCTCAGTGCTGGGATTACAGGCGGGAGCCACTGCGCAACCACAGTATGCTGTTCTAACTGTTCCGTTTCATTTCAGTTATTGTTGTGAACCTCTTACTGTGCCTAATTGATAAATTTATCACAGGTGTATCTCTAGAAAGAAATACAGTATATACAGGGTTTGTACTACCTGTGGTTTCTGGGGGGACCACTGTACTGCAGACTGAGAAGACCACCCCCAAGGTAGAAAATGAGTTCATCTGCCACACTCCCTCACTCAACCTTGTGGGCCTCTGCGCATTCTCCCAACATCACCGAGCACTCCTCACCCCAAAGGTCCACTGCTGGGATCCTCCTGACCCGTGGCATTTCATGAGCCGTGGCGGGTCTGATGAGCGAGTCTCTGACATATCTAGACAAAGGAGACTATTTAAAACCAATTCATGCTCTTCATTATAGATCCAGATCTAGAGAAGAAAAATAAAATAAAATTTAGATAACGAATTTTAAGACTGAACAACACTTTGCATATTCTTCCACATATTGATTCTGTAAGGTCTCAAAGCAGAAACAGACCAATGCACTAGACTTACAGGGAAGCAGATTTCAACTTGGTTCATTCCACTTCAGATAGCTAAGGCAGGAGAAAGTGAGGTGCTATTCTGGGAAGAAACCTAAGCAGTGGCTGAATTTTGTTCATTGAATTTGACTGAATTAACTCTTTTCCAATTTTAGGGTTTAACAATTACATAACTCTCTTAATTCCTGGACTGTGTAGGTGACAGAGGAGCCCGACAGCCTCTGGCTGACCCTCTGGAGACAGAAGGGCACACGGCTGCCATTTTCGTCGATGCCTCATCGGGGCAGTCAGGAAGTGCACAGGCTGAATCACAGATTATCTTCAGGAACACAACTGGGTGACATGGCAAGTGCAGTGAACAACTCACTCTCCAACATGCGCCATCACTATGCTCAAAAGGAACCTATTCTCTTCTGTTCTATTTACTCATTGCTTCAACTCATAGAACCCAAATGGATGTGTGCAGTGTTCACTAATATGAAGACCCTGAATCAGAGTCATAGGGAGCTGTGAGAGAATTTTCTGCAACACTGTTATTGTCTCATAGCCTGTGTCCAATAAGGGAGCTACTGGCCACATGCAGCTATTGTACACTTGAAATGTGACTAGTGGCTACAGAATTAGCACAACTATGCATATAAGCATAACTAAGCAATAAGCATAACTAAGTTAGCCTTAGAATAGGATAACTCCATCACCCCAACTTATATTTTCTGGAACAAATTTCAGCTCTCATCTCACTGTGACCTACACCACTGAAACTGCGTCACCGCGATTTTAATACTTCCACAACACTGCCACCTCTTCTACCCAGAAGATGCACAGAAATCCCTTCTTTTTTTTGAGACAGAGTCTTACTCTGTCACTAGGCTGGAGTGCAGTGGTACAATCTTTGCTTACTGCAACCTCAGCCTCCCAGGTTGAACCAATTCCCCTGCCTCAGCCTCCTGAGTAGCTGGGATTACAGGCACGCACCACCACACCCAGCTAATTTTTTTTGTATTTTTAGTAGAGATGGGGTTTCATCATGTTGGTCAGGCTGGTCTTGAACTCCTGACCTTGTGATCCGCCCACCTCATCCTCCCAAAGTGCTGGGATTACAGGCATGAGCCTCTGCACTGGGCCCCAGAAATCCCTTTTAAACTACATTTTCAACACACGTATCACCTGAGACAGTGGGCGTGACCTCTTCTGGTGGAGCGCTGGATGACATCTCACAGCACACATCACAGCACACATTATTTACCCAAAAGCCCAAGTGGCTTTTTTTTTCCTTTCTGAGTGACACCAACCCACCACTAAAATAGAAATGAGACACTACAATTTATGAGATTAGACTGCTGTTCCATTATGCTATTTTATCAGACATAAACGAGTTTGAAATTACCGTTCTAAACTGAAGTTATTTGCTGATTTTTAGGCCCGTTTTAATATTATTTAGGAGACATACATAAGCTGAAATGAAATTAGGTGAATGGAATCAACTGAAATTCTGTAGTGCTTCCCTTGGCCATTTCTAACAAATTCCTATGGCTCGTAAGTCACAATTTATTCCGCATAATATTAGAAAGTACAAATAATGGTGTAAACAACTAAAATGCTCTATGACGACGAGCAGAGATAGGAAAAACATACAAAGGAGACGAAAGTAGCTGACTGAGGTGTCATCTAAGGCCACTCTCTTCCTTTTAACCCATTTATGCTGGAGGTTGCAGTTTTTTTCGGTGAAAAATCAGACCCTGGCGGTGACCTTGAGCACTAGGATATAGATAACCCCCATAAGCTTAGCGTTCCAATAACGCAACACTACACAGAAATGGGTTAAGAAAAGCCAGAATAGTAGACACTGATGTCCTCAGGAGTGACTGGCAGCAGCTTCCCTACACTGGAAGCCTCCTTGCGGACACTGGCTGTGAGCCCCGAGGTGTCACTCACCTGATTTGGGTCACTGTAGTCACAGGCCTTAAGCACCACGAGACCTCCCTTCTGACTTGGGCGGCCCTGGGCCACCAGGCATTTGTTGGTCTGGAGGTGATAGAGCTGTAAGAGAAGGCACAGCTCAGAATGTGGGAAACAATCCCAGAGACGCCTCCCAAGCCTGGAGGTGGTTCCAGGCAAAATGTGAAAGGTTATTCCGGAGGTACGAATTCCAAGGCTCATAAAAATATATGCATTTTTAATTCCTAAGTTCTAGCCTCAGAACACAGGAGCATCAAGATAGACAAAAGTTATAACTCCAAAAGTTATTAGCAGTTTTAACATGCAGACAGTGTCAGCTAGGAATTCTAGCTACATATACATGTTTACTAATCTACAGCAGATGAAAGAAATTAAAATGTCATCCCTGCCCTAAAGAACCTTCAAATGAAGTCAGGGATATAAGAACAACATGTATAAAAAAGTACACAATGAAATGCAATATGCATGCTACACTGGAGAGACACCGGTGACAACTATCACAGAACTGCGAGGGTGAGACAAACAGCAAGAAATAATAATGGTAAGCGATCAACTACATGGGCACACACTGCTCTCTCCTACTTAGAGAAAAACACCTGACACTAAACATCCTGATACTGGGTTTGTTTTTGTCTTATTATAGGGTAGAGAGAAGAGGAAGGGGGAAAGCTCTAGGCTTCCTCCTAGCCACTGAGGGAGAGTTGACACTGCTCTGGGAGAAGTGCCTTCTTCATAAAAGAAGGGACACTGGGCAACACAGACAGTACCTGCCCTTAGCTTTTAGAAGCCAACTCTAAGAGATGACTCAGGAGAAGGGGATGATTTTATGGCCGGACCCCTACAATTTAACTGTGACTATATAACTGTAATGAGTTTAAGACACAAAGACAGCTAAGGAAATGTGGTTGATCAATGTGCTTTCTGCTGAGCTCAGATGACTTCTGGGAACACCAGGCATGAAATCCATGTCCCCACTCTGACCCTCACTACCACCTCTGCTCTGTGATTTGGTTCCCAGAGCTAAGAGCAAATAGCAGATCACTGCCCCATTTCTCCACTTGTTGGCCTGGCCTCTGACACACGAAGTTGACACTTCCATGGCCTCTGTCCGGGGTGTATTCCCATATGCCTCTGCGCTCTTGGAAAGCGTCACATAACTTACCCTCACAGAAGGCAGCTATGCCGGCAAGGCAAGGATCTACACTTGAGGTCCTACACTTGCGTAGAGAAGTTCCCATAAAGAGAATATAATGAAAGGCAAGCTGAAGCCTGTCATTACACTCTGTTAAGTCCACAGTGTCACCTGTCATAGCTTATGGACACCTCAAAACTTTTCATATCAAACGCTTTTCATAAGCCACTTGGAAAAAACAGCTTTCTTACCCTTCCACGTTGAAGGACTTTGGGTCGTTTTGGCCCTCTATTGACAAAAATGGGTTGTTGGGGTTTGGCGTGGGACCCAGATATCTGCATCTCTGGGTATACATTATCCAAATACCATTTAAATGATTTACAGCCCAACTTCTTTCTCAGTTCCACACGCTCACTGATATTGCCATAGCTTTTCGTCTTCAGGTCAGGTCTTAAGGAAAAATACTGCTCCTGAATTTAAAAAAAGTAAAAATAAGAAAATCGAATTTTTTGTTAAAAATGATGATACAACTATATAGAGATTTTTTACACGATTAAGTCCATTACTAACAATGATAATAACATGTACCTTAAACTGTATCTGAGAATCAATGAAACAGGCGTATATATGAGATCAGTGGGTCTCAAACTCGTGAGTCTCAGTCATCGATGTTCTTAAAAATTACGGAAAACTCCCAGGAGGGTCTGCGTGTGTGGGCTGTGTCTGTTCATATTTATCACACAGAAATTAAAACAGAGAAACCTACAAATTATTAATTCCTTAAAATAATTAAATACTCATTACAAACACAAAATGTAGTGAGAACAGTGACACTGCTTTCTATTTTTGCAAACCTTTTTGCTGGCTGGCTGGCTTAAAACAAGCCAGCTAAATTCTCACATCTGCATTTAGCCTGTTGCAGTGTGTTGTTTTGGTTAAATATATGTATTTTTAAAATTACAACCTATATATAATTATGGGGTTAATACTACTCCAAAATTCAATAACTTTCGAAGTCTAGTTACGATGTGGAATATGAAATCATATTAAGATTTTTACACTGTTGCATTAAAATGTACTGGTCTATCGGCCAGGCGCAGTGGCTCACACTTGTAATCCCAGCACTTTGGGAGGCCAAGGCAGGCGGATCACTTAAGGTCAGGAGTTTGAGACCCGCCTGGCCAAACATGGTGAAACCGTGTCTCTACGAAAAAATACAAAAATTAGTTGGGAGTGGTGGCGCATGCTCCTTGGGGGCCGAGGCTGCAGAATCACTTGAACCTGGGAGGTGGAGGTTGCAGTGAATTGAGATCGTGCCACTGCACTACAGCCTGGGCAACAGAGTAAGACTCTGATTCAAAAAACAAAGATAAATAAAGTTAAATAATATCTCCTGGTCTGTCTTGCTCTCTGAATGGATCTTCCACCCGTTTTTGTAACAGTGTGGATTAGTCATTTGGAAAATACTACTCCACTGGATTGTACTGTTCTACCAAATATTGAAAAATTTCACTATACAATATCAAAAAATTATATATAAAACCACTGATCTCCTCAGTAAATTTTTTTTGAGATGGAGTTTCACTCTTGTTGCCCAGGCTGGAGTACAATGGCACGATCTCGGCACACCACAACCTCCACCTCCCAGGTTCAAGCGATTCTCCTGCCTCAGCCTCCTGAGTAGCTGGAACTACAGGCATGCGCCACCACACCCGGCTAATTTTGTATTTTTAGTAGAGATGGGGTTTCTCCATGTTGGTCAGGCTGGTCTCAAACTCCCGACCTCAGGTGATCCTCCTGCCTCGGCCTCGCAAAGTGCTGGGATTACAGGCATGCGCCACCGCACCCGGCCAAGTAAAATTTTTAAGTACTAGGAAGCTGTCAAGCTCCTGGCGGTAAATGTAAGTTTTTCAAAATTCTAATTTTCACTTGAGGGCTTGAATTTTGTCATTTGCAACAAATACTGTCAGTTGTTTTCATTTTCATTATTTAGTTCGTTTTACCCAAATACGAGTAACTATGGTTTGTGAGTCAGTCTTAACATATAAAAAGAGTGTTCTGGAGAGCAGCCGCTAGCTCCGCCCATAACTCAAACAACTGCACAAGTGTTTTTCCTTGAACCAAGCACCGTACTTCAGTACACAGCAGAAGTGCTTTTTGTATGAGCACGCATACTCACACAGGATACTAAAAAGGCACATTGAGATTTACTAAAATTATTATTATATCAATGATATTCGGAAATGCAGCTGGCCTTTGTCTTCTGAGTGAGTGCTGGTGAAGAATGCAGTGACTACAGTATAACTGGGTGCTGATGCCTCGATTTATGCTAAGGCACCAGCCACTTTACTCCCCTGATTTTACACACTCAGTGCAATGTCAACACGGTCAAAGAGGCAAATACTGTATTAACCTGACTATGAAAATGAGTTTAAACTGGCAGACCTCCTCAAAGAGTGGCTAGGAGTGGGACCATGTGTTGAGAACTATGGTAGCCAGTGATGATTCAGAGATGAGCATGGAATTAGACCTCAAAGTCTGGTCAAGGAGGGAGAGGGGAGATAAACAGTGCTGTAGGAGAAGCACTGTGGAGTCCCTACTGCCCCCAAACACAGTGCACCACTGTGTCCCTGTCATTCCAGCACAAGCTACATGTCTCTGTTGACATTTCCCTCACGGTGTGAAAAATTACTGTGCACTTCCTTATTCATCTTTTATCCCCCAAAACCTAACACAGAGCCTGGCATACAGGAGGTGCACAACAAATGTTTAAAAAATAGCTATACACAAATACAGCAGCAACCAGGCGTGGTGGCTCACGCCCTAACACAGAGCCTGGCATACAGGAGGTGCACAACAAATGTTTAAAAAATAGCTATACACAAATACAGCAGCAACCAGGCGTGGTGGCTCACACCTGTAATCCCAGCTACTCGGGAGGCTGAGGCTGAGGCAGGAGAATCACTCGAACCCAGGAGGTGGAGGTTGCAGTGAGCCGAGATTGCGCCGTTGCACTTCAGCCTGGGCAACAAGAGTGAAACTCTGTCTCAAAAAAAAAAAAAAAGTGGAAACAACCTAAATGTTGATCAGCTGGTGGATAAAGTAAAATGTGGTCTGTTCATACAATGGAATATTATTTGGCAATAAAAAGGAATGCAGACCCATACATGGAACGGCACGGATGAACCTGAAAACGCCATGCTCAACTGAAGAAGCCAGACAGAAAAGACCACATAGTTTATGATTCCATTTGTAGGAAATATCCAGAAAAGGCAAATTAAGTAGAGACAAGGAGTAGATTAATGGTTGCTTATTGGCTGTCTAGGGCTGAGGCAGAGAGGGAGACTTTGGGGAGATGATCGAAGGCTATGGACTTCTTTTTGCAGTGATAAAATATTCCAAAATCAATTTTTGGATTATACTTCAATAAATCATTACAAAGAAAATATATAAAGTGACCTAAGGCAGAAGAGAAAGTGGGAAGTAATTCTAAATGTGCCCTCTAACAGGGGAAGAAACGGGATTGGGTCACCACGAAGTCCAATGAGTAAAAGAAAAGGCCAGGCCTGGCACAGTGGCTCACACACGTAGTCCCAGCACTTCGGGAGGCCAAGGCAGGAGGATCTTTTGAGCCCAAGAGCTCAAGACCAGCCTGGGCAACACAGTGAGATCCCATCTCTAAAAAAACAAACAAACAAAAAAAAAAACACTTTTTAAAAAAAATTATCCAGGCATGGTAGCACATGCCTATAGTCCCAGCTACTTGGGAGGCTGAAGCAGTAGGATCACTTGAGCCCAGGAGACTGAGGCTGCAGTGAGCCGTGATCACACCACTGCACTCCTGCCTGGGTGACAAAGCAAGACCCTGTCTCAAAAAAAAAAAAAAAAAAAAAAAAAAAAAAAAAAAAAAAAAAGAAAGCCAACTTTTGCAGGCGTCACAATAGAGAGACCAGACGGAATAAAGAAACTGAAGATGGAATTTCTTCCAACATTAGCCGCATTACTTCTTATGGAGTAGACACTTACAAAATTAAAAGAGTCAGATTAGAACCAGAAAGAAGTGAAGTACTAGGTGAAGGGGGTGGGGGGAAACTAGAAAGAGTTGGCCCTAAGGTGAAGGTTAACCAAGAGAAATATGCCAGAGTGAAAAGTAAGCAACTAAAGCTATCACTAGGCCAGTCACTGCCGGCCTATCATTCATCCTTCTAAACAAGAAATTTCATCTCACCTTGTATTCATCCAACCAGACATGTGCCAGCCGCAAAGAGTTGTGTGTCATGGTGTCCTGGCCTTCGGGAGATCCATATGGTCGCCTTTTTCGGAAAATGTGTCCTACTCTAGAGCAAGGGATGATGAAGAGCTTACCGCCACACATCCAGATCTGGCCAGAAGCAAAAACAGGTGTTAACAGTTGCCTCATGTTGTTGTGAAACCAATGTATGAATTTTCAATGAAATTAATCTTTATTCAATAGGTGTTTATGAAACTTGGCAAGATATTTATCTTATTAGATACAAATATTCAAATAGAAGGAAATGAGAAGGTACACATTGTTAGAAATTGTCTGTCTTTATCATTACAAGGAACTAAATGCTAAAACAATGCTATAGTCAGCATTTACTACCATAAGTCTGAAATTGCACTTACCCAACTTTGTTGCTTTAACAGATCAAGAGACTTGATCTTAGGCACTTAAGAACAAGAAGTGCTTATTTTTATTTATTTATTTATTTATTTTCTTTTAAGAAGTGCTTATTACCTGTTCTCTCATTTTAGTTTCACAGGTACTTGCTTATACAATGCATATTCTTTTTTGGAAAACAGATTTTTTAATATAAAATATATAGAATAACTCCAGATTAAGATTCAAAAGACCTTAGCTCTGGTCTAAATTCTGTCCTTGACTATCTGAATTACTTTGGAGTTAAGTTCGTTTTTGTGGGATTAGATTGCCTTATCTAAAAAGAGACTGAACTTTTAATAATAAAATCTATTAAATAAGAAGCATAATAAAATCTATTACGCCTTTAACCCTAACATTCTAAAACTTACAGAATGAAAACCTGCTTTTTCTTTTTTTTTTTTTGTTGAGACACAGTCTCGCTCTTGTCCCCCCGGCTAGAGTGCAGTGGCGCTTGGCTCACTGCAACCTCTGCCTCCCAGGTTCAAGCGATTCTCCTGCCTCAGCCTCCCGAGTAGCAGGGATTACAGGCACCCGCCACCACGCCCAGCTAATTTTTTTGTATTTTTAGTAGAGACGGGGTTTCACCATGTTGGCCAGGCTGGTCTTGAACTCCTGACCTCAGGATCAGCCCACCTTGGCCTCCCAAAGTGCTGGGATTATAGGCGTGAGCCACCATGGACCCAGCCAAAACTTGCTTTTTAAAAATACTGTAGTCAATACATTTGCAGAAATACAGAAGGACATATGAACAAGTATCATGGTATTATCTGATAGGGATTCTGCTAACTGGACTAGGAGATGGTTGGGAGAAATACTGGGATATTTGCTTGGAAGGAGAAGTCTCAGCTCTCCCCTCGCCCTCTTTCTGCCTTTCCCAAAGACTGTCTACACCATGGTCCTCTGAGCCACAGACTCCACCTATGCTGTCACCTTTCAAACCTTAGCAATTGGAGAAGACAGATAATGCGAGGTGGATTTCCTCCTCGGGACAGGGGTGCCTGTATACACAAAGGACTTGGTAAGCTATACATGGGGTGATGGTATAATGCAGCATCAAACTGAGCTGTTTCTGAAAGTACAATGGGAAGCTATTTATTTTTCCAAGAGAACAGGTATGAACTAGGATGGTCTTAGGCCTCAGGGAAATCTGGTCACCCTGACTATATGACTATATGTATCTGGTAGTATCAATAAAATAAACCAACAAAAAAAGAACAAACCTTTAAATTAGCACATTAAGACATTTTAAATTTATATCCAACCATTCATTACAACAATACTTTTATAATTTAAAAAAATATATATATATATATACACACACACACAGAGTGGAATAACAGATACTGGAGACTCTAAAAGATGGGAGAGGAGTGAGGGATGAAGTACTACCTGTTGGGTACAATGTGCATTACTCTGGTGATGAGTGCACTAAAAGCCAGACTTTACCACCACACACTATGCACTTGTACCTCTAAATCCATAAAAACAGACTAGGCACAGTGGCTCACGCCTGTAATCCTAACACCTTGGGAAGCTAAGGCAGGAGGATTGCTTGAGTCCAGGAGTTCAAGACCAGCCTGGGCAACATAGTGAGACTCGCATCTCTACAAAAAGTAGAAAATTAGCCAGGTGTGGCGGCATGCGCCTGTACTCCCAGCTACTTAGGAGGCTGAGAGGTGGGAGGATCGCTTGAGCCCAGGAGTTCAAGGCTGCAGTGAGCCACTGTATTCATCCCACTCTACTCCAACCTGGGCAGCGGAGCAAGACCCTGTCTCAAAAAAATAAATACCAATAAATACATGGCTTCTTACATGCTTTTTCATTTTGTTGTTGTTTTCCTAGCCAATGGATCAACATGTATACTCTTGACATTTCGAACAGATATTATCCATATCACAGATTCTGACAAAGTAGCATTCATTAAGGACAATTTGTCAATAAAGATAGTCATGGAGCACTCTGGGAGGCCGAGGCAGGAGGATCACTTGAGCCCAAGAGTTCGACACCAGCCTGGGCAACATAGTGAGACGCCCATCTCTACAAAAAATAGAAAAATTACAGGCACATGCCTGTAGTCCCAGCTAATCAGGAGGCTGAGGCAAGAGGATCGCTTGAGCTCAGGAGGTCAAGGCTGCAGTGAGCCATGACCACGCCACTGCACTCCAACCTGGGCAGCAGAGAAAGACCCTATCTCGAAAAAAAAATAATCAAGGAGAATATAAAGAAAATATGAGATCATGGATGAAAATCATATTCCACTACACAGTTATTAATTGAGCATGCAAAAATTAAATTACCCGAAATGATATTTCCAAATTTTCTCCTCCCCAGATATCCATGCCACTATCATACTGTCCAAGTTCATGGAAATACTGTCTGTTCATGGCAAACAAACCTCCAGCCATTGTTGGTGACCTAGAAAAAGGAAAATTACTGTACTCATTCCTTATAGTCAGTTATCTTACCTACTACTTTTGTTTAAAATACTCAGTGTCATTTTGGAACATAACTAATAAAAATTGAATTAATGATTATGAATCATTTTATCCAGTATCAGAGAATGAGCCAGGCCATACAACTGAATTTTCTAGATTGCTAATAATATGCTAGTATCTGGCATACGAAGGCTACTTTTCTAAGTCTCGAAAGTTCTTTTCCTATTATAACCATTTCTGATGGAAAGCCACCTGATATGGTCATTCCTTCTGACAATCTCACAGAGCCTTGGGGATCAAAACTGGGCTCTAAGGTCCACCAAGGAGAGACCTGACAAACATCACACGTTGGGAGTTGGACTCACACAAGTTAGACCAGTGGCTCTCAACTGGGATGACTGTGTCCCCAACAGACATTTCATAATGTTGGGAGCATTTTTAGCTGTCACATCTTGATGTGTTTGTGTGGCAGGGTGCTCCTAGAATCTGGGTTGAGGTCTGGGATTCTGCTACCTATCCTAAAATGCACAAGAGGGCCCCTACAACAAAGAATTATCTGGCCCAAAATGTCAGTAGTGCCAAGGCTGAGAAGCCCTGTGCTGGAGTGAGAAAAGCCACAGACTAGTCCTCTCAGGGACTCGAGCTAGCTTCCAGTCCGCTCACTTCCTAAAACTGGATAGAGGGGATTGTGGATTCTAGTGGCCCAAGCTGCCTGCACAAGAGAAGCAAAATTATCTCTGCAGGGAAAAAACATCATCCCAGGTATGAATGTATTTCTATAATTTTTCATATATCATGTCTGGCACTAAGCAAAAATAAATAAGCAACAAATAAATAACCAGGCAAATGGGAAGATAAAATCACATGAAAACAAAATGAGAGAAACAACATACACCAGAAACAGATATGAAGGGGTTTCAAATATGGAATTATCAAGCAAAGACTTTAACTGCTCAGTATATTCAACAAAAAAGACAAGGCAGAATTCGGCAGCAAATTAGTTACTTCAAAAAAGTAACCATGTTTATACATATCCAAAAGACACTTTTTAAAAACAAGACCAAAAAAAATGTAAGCAGCCAATGAAAAAGAGATTATCTTAAGGGAAGCAAAGTAAGACTAACAACGCTGACTTCCTGTCTGAAACGGTGAATGCCAGAAGGTTCTTGAATGATGCCTTCAAAGGCTGAAAGAACATATATGTCTGCTATTGCCAACCTAGAACTGGATACTGAGTAAACATGTTCTTCAAAACAATGGTGAAACATAAGGACATTTTCGGAAAAACAGAGGACTGATCACTAGGATGTCCAACTAAAAGAACGACTAAGAGTGTGGGAGCAATCCCGGATAGAGCCTACAGCTGCAGAAAGAACAGGGTAACATAAAGCGGAGATACTTGGGCAAGCCTGTGTGAATACTGCTACGTAAGAAATGGCTTCTGGGGTTTAAATTATATAACAATATACAATATTGTTGTATATAACAACAAATAAGCAACGATAACAACATAATAACAATAACAAATAAATTGGGGGAGGAATAACTGAAACGTGAACCTTCTGAGATCCTGGCATTGTTTGGAGAAAGTACCAATTTTGATTACACTCTGGCAAATCAAGAACAAATGTATTCTTTAAAAAGTTAAAATACAGGTACACCTCTTTGAATTCAATCTACGTAAGAAATTTTTAAAGAAAACAAAAATAAGAGCAGCTTTATATTACAGAAGATGAAACACAGATAAGAACGTAAAATAATTCCTATACTATGACTTAGTAATTATACTAGCAGGAATCCATCTTCAAAATCCTAATGAAAGAAAAGGCTTACGTATTAATGTTTTTCACAACATCACTCCGGCTACCAAAGAACTGAAGGTAAGTTAGTGAACTATAAATACACCGCAGTGTTTGACATACCAAACAGCAACCACCACACGGGGCCCTCCCAGGGCTTCCTCTGCAATGGTGGCCTGGTCTGTCTGCTCTTCTCACAGGCTCTAAGTCCTTGAGGGCACACATACTGTCTTACTCATAAATCTTTCCTTAGGACTTGGCAGACTGCATAAAATTCAATACGTACTCAAGAATTTTTAACGTACAAATTAAGTCTAACACTTTTGCTCCTTACAAAGAAGGAGGAATTATCTTTAATATCATTTTGTTCTCTTTTAAGGAAGCACTGGTAGGAATTTGTCAAACAAAGGAGCGATCTTACTTTATTGGTGCAGTGGCTCCCTCCGCTCGTCCTAGCTCAGAAAGGGGGACAAGATCCCATTTGAAGTGCAGTCCCCAGTTGAACCCTCCGCGGACGACAGGGGACGAGCTGTAGGCCAGCGTGTCGGCGCTGATGATGTCAATCACTGGGCACACCACGGTGTGCCGGTCCTCACGGATGGCGGCCAGCAAGGGCTGCAGCCACATCACATTCACTTCACAGTGGCTGTCCAGGAACACAAGGACTTCTCCTGGGGAGGAAACAACAGAGGCTCAGGAGAGTGTCACAACACTCAATTTAGGTACAACCACCCGTCCAATGGGATGACGCGCTGACACAGCATGAAACACGACTGCCACCCTCCCAGCCCCAGACGGCCTAACTGCTCCACTACACTTCACTGCCGGTGGTCAACAAGGACGTCCCTCAGCCAGTAATGCTGCGTGCAGTGTCCTGCTGTGATTGAGGGACCCATACAAATCATACGCGCGACTCTTGAAAAAACTGACAGGCAATTCAGAATCTCTTCAGTAAACAGAGTCAAAGTCTCACCGTAACAACTCAACTCTTTGGAAGCCCAGATATTGAGTATTCCAAGATGTTTTGGTGCCATGACGGTGGCCAGTTGTATGTAGGTATTTTTATTACAATTATTTTAATCAAAATATTTTGAAGTTTGGCACACACTTAGAAGACATCTCTCTGCCTCAGTAAACAGAGTACAGAGAACACAGCTGCCTTCTCACTGGTGACTAGGACATGCACTGTAACTATGGATGATGGCTGCCACACAGCAGTTCTCCCCGGAGAGAGGGAGGCGCAGCTGGTGGCGCTCTCGGGGACGCCTCTTGCTCATTTCTGTTTCTTCCATCTCCCACCTTTCCTTTCTACTGCCCCCCACCCTCTTAGCTTCAGTGGCTCTCACCTGCCAATGGGATACACCTTTCTTCTAGTTAGCAACATATAAATCATCGACATTTTATTCTGCATTTTAAGCTCCTCTTGATAAATGTGAGCAGAACTGAGGTTTTTTTTTTTTTTATAATTTCAAATTTAAGAGCTCCACGGTTCTTCTGAGCAGTTGAGAAACTCAGAATGACATCATCAGGTCACATTATTGTTTTTCTAAAAGTGCACTCGTGAAATGTATGAAGATTTTACATGAACTACTTAAAGCACCAAATGTTATCTATCCAACTTCAACTAGTGATAAAAGCAGTATCTCAGACAGTTTTCAATGATGCCCGTGAATCAGTCCCACAGCTCAGTGTCTGTAAACAGCCTGAAGGGTGGGGGATGTAGGCAGCTCTCCGCTGTCACTTAATGCAGAAAGGCAGAACCTTCCACATGCACATCAGTGGGGGTGAGGTGAGACCAATCACAATTGCTTCGAGGAGAAAATGGATTCAGAGCTTTTCTTAATTCTAAAAGTGTTACTTTTTCCAATTAACACCAATTTAAAGGAAGACCACATCTGGTCACAGTGAACCTGAAACAATGACTTCCATGCAAACTGGCTTGCTTCGGACAGATCCTAAACTATATCTCAATGAGGACCTGAAGAGATCATAAGGGAAAAAAACCTAAATAGCTATTGCTATCTAAAAAAAAGTCAGTTCACAGTAAACTTGCATTGTAACAGTACAATGTTTTGAGTGGCTTAATATTGAAAATACCCCAGGATTTTCACTTTATTGCTTTGCCTTAAATAACTCCACACAGCCAATTCAGTAAGTTTTTACATGACTAGAAACCTAGAAAAAAAGTCTCACAAGCCTTGAATTCAGTCTGCATCCACTGCAGATAGGATGTAGAGGAGCTGCTTCTCTTTTTTTTTTGTTAATTGCTTCAGGTCACTGTGGGCTTCAGAGAAATAAGAGAAGACAGATACTAAAAGTGAAGTTCCAACTCAGCCCAGCACACGAGCCAGTGGCTCCACAGGGGGAGTGGTGGTGAGCAGTGCCGACCACCACAAACCCAGAGGCAGGTTATCTAGGAGAGCGTGGAATATAGGAAGGACTGCAGTAGATGCTGTCACTGCTAGGGAATATCCCCACCAAGTTCCATCATTCTCAAATGATTTTCAAAATTTTTTCGCCATGTCCATGCCCTACCTGCAATATCACATGCCTAACATTTTTAAACAGATTCATTAGTTTTAATTACATTTATTTAAAAATGTTTTAATTACAGTCATAAATGAAACTCAGGGAGACCAATTACACATAGGTAACCATAAAACGAAATACAACAGAATCAATATAACGTAACTGAAGACTAACCAGATATATTTTCTGCAGAAGACTGAATTTGAGATCGGTTATTTCTTTTTAAAGGGGGAGAGCAGTGTATGATGGAAATATACTAGTAACAACGGAGACTTGCTCCTTGATGGAATCAGAAGGATTAAGAGGGAATTTTAAAGAAAATGCCATTTATAGTTTTGTAAGTCAATCTTACGTCCATTAACCAATTAAAGTCATGATGTGTGGCTCCAGAGGGATGCACTCCGCACTAAGAGTTAAAAGCATAGTTCCAATCGACAGTTTGGGTTCATACATTTTAAATTTTGTATTTAAAAACATAAAAATTCAGTTACATTTTGGTCTGGGCTTTTCTGCTTATATAAGTGAATAAGATATAAAATATATTTGAGGGGCAGTAAGTATCAAAGAAGGGTTGCTATGAAAATAGACACTGAGGATTTGAGAGTTCAGCCCCCTGCACTATGTGCTTTGGGATGGCAGGCTTGGCGTTATGAACAGGTCTTTCCCAAACAGAACAAGCCTCATCTCTCCTGCTGGCAATGTCCGTTTGAAACACTACTCTTCATAGACTTTGCAGAATCAGGACAGGCGCTGAGGCTCGAGCCCTTGTCATCCAACACCTGTAGAGCAAAGCTAACGAGAAGTGATACCTGTCGCGTGGGCCGCGCCAATCATTCTCCCTCGAATCAACCCCTCACGCTTTGTATTTCTTATGACTTTAATTTTTCCAGGGAGGTATTTTTGGACATATTCATCTAGTTCTCCTTTCAAATCATCTGAAAATAAAGTCCCACAATTATTCAAACTGTATGAGACATATATAAAGACACTTTACAGCTATTCTAAAGTTGTATCTAGTACTTGCTAAAATTTACAACAAACTATCAAGCAAATACTACAGAATATTTTACTTTAAAAGAGTATTGTAGCTTATCCTGTAGGAAGAAAAAGAAATGAAGGGTAAGAGCTGGAATACTAGCAAAGAGGAATACTTACTTTAGTTACAGACTTATTTGTATCTCCATAGCATCGAGCACAATGCTTTGCACAAAGAATGTTTGAAATGAGTATTTTGAGTGCATAAATGTTCAGCTGACCATATATAAATCACATTGATAACAAAGAAAATGAGATATAAATGCCTTTTATTACAAAGGAATTTATTAAGTCTTAGTCCATTTCAAAATAGTTAAGAAACAACTTCTATTGCCCCTACCAAGAATAACAAGAACAGCATTGAATATGTCCTTTTATTAATTTAGCATCTTTCTTCCAAGGTTGCTAAATATTTTTTAAGGAATTCTATGTCATTCACCTGTATATTTCAGAATAACTTGAAAGATCGTGTAAGATAATAAGCAGTAATTCTTTCCATAGTTAATATACAAACCACCTCAAATTATGAATTTTTCCTTTTAGGTAAAATAGCCACAAAGTGAAAACCAAAATACAAGTTGACTTAAAAAAAAACAAAAACCAACCATAAATTCTAGAAATCAGTATGTAACCAATCTTCTACGTGGTCCAGACTCAGATTTATTTATTAGGTTTTTTGTTTGTTTGTTTTTGGCCAAGGTTTGAGAATTTTGCTCCCATGACTCTCTCCATTTCTTTACCTTCTATATTTAAGTATACTGGTATACCAACTCTGATGTTGATACAAGTGGTACTTAATAAACGCTCGAGTGCATGAAAAAGTCACTGGCATACACCTGTACCACTGTGTTCCTGCAGCCTGCTGTCATGAAAAGAGCAGAAGGCTTGGAGCTATGCAGACCAGAGGTCTCATTTCCACTCTACTACTTAACAGCTATGGGGTCTGAGCAAATTACTTTTTATATTTCTCCCTCTATAAAATGGGCTTCCAGCCTTTCTTGCAAGGTCACTGAGAGCTGAATGAGCAGTGTAATAAAAAGCCTTCTATCCTGTTTGGGTACACAAAGCCATTCTTAGCAAGAGTCTATGTTGAATTAAGAAAGGCGTACAGAATATAGAATATGTAGTGAATCATAAAATACTGGCATTCAGAGATCATTGAGGAGCTATCAGAATGCAATCCACTTTTATCTGGGGACGATCAGTGTAAGAGACTTAATAGAGAAGCATAAGCCAAGGCATCATGCCAAATGAAAAAAGCCCATCTCAAAAGGTCACATACCGTGTGATTCCATTTATATGACATTCTTGAAATAACAAAATCAGAGATGGAAACAAAATCATAGAGTCGTGGTTTCAGGGACTGGGGAAGAGTAGAGGAAAGCAGGAGGTGTGACTAGAAAGAGGCAGCACAAGGGCCCTCCGGGTGAGGAAACAGTTCTGTATCATTGCAGTGAGGGTTGTGGGAGTCCACCTGTGTGACAGAATGACCCTGGACCACACACACTGTACCAATGTGGATTCCTGGTTCTGACAGGGGAATTTTATGATGGAGCAACTGGATAAAGGTACATAGGCCGTCTTTGTAACTTCCTGTGAACCTACAGTTATTTCAAATAAAAAGAGGTGTGTTTTTTAAAGTAAGCCACGGAAAAAATTTCACGGCCCAAATTTGGGTAGCATAGTTTATAAGCAGGTTACAAAGATAATGGATTTCTTCAGACTTATTTGTGGTCAGCCCAGCTGTGACTGCACGTGTAGGATCCCCACCTACCACGTACTTGAAAGTTCAGCTGTGTTAGTGTTTGTCAGTGCTGTAGTGACTGACAGCCTGGATCCAATGTTACCAGGTGCAGCATTCCTTACCAAAGTCACTATCATCATCCACAAGGATGATCTCATGAAGCAGGTGTGCTGGCGTGCGGTCTATGACACTGTGCACTGTCCGAAGCAAGGCAGAAAACGCTTCATTATAGAAACAGATAACAACACTAGCAGCTGGCAGGTCAGGTGGGTAGAACTTTTCTTTACATCTGTAAAGATAAAGATGAGGAAATTCTGACATTTTAAAAGGCTCGAATGGTTTAGATTATTATTCACCTACAGATTTACTGTCCCCTTGTTCACCCTCTTCCCCCACCCCCTGCCTTTTTTTTTTTTTTTGAGACGGAGTCTCGCTCTTGTTGCCCAGGCTGGAGTGCAGTGGCGCTATCTCGGCTCATCGTGACCTCCGCCTCCCAGGTTCAAGCGATTCTCCTGCCTCAGCCTCCCGAGGAGCTGGGATTACAGGCATGCGACACCACATCCGGCTAATTCTGCATTTTTAGTAGAGACAGGGTTTCTCCATGTTGGTCAAGCTGGTCTCGAACTCCTGACCTCAGGTGATCTGCCCACCCCAGCCTCCCAAAGTGCTGGGACTACAGGCGTGAACCACCACGTCCAGCCTGTTCAGCCTCTTTCTAACATTATGGTAACAACAATTTTTTTTAAAAGCATTTACAAAAACAATACGGTTTCTTCTTCAAGAGTTTTACATTTTGCTAATAATGTCTCCCTCCTATACCTGCTATCTTGTTTACTTTTGGATAAATTTTTTCTTTTTTTGAGACGGTGTCTTGCTCTGTCACTAGGCTGGAGTGCTGTGGCGCGATCTCGGCTCACTGCAACCTCCGACTCCCTGGTTCAAGCGATTCTCCTGCCTCAACCTCCTGAGTAGCTGGGATTACAGGCCTGCGCCACCACGCCCAGGTAATTTTTGTATTTTTAGTAGAGACAGAGTTTCACCACATTGGCCAGGATGGTCTCGATCTCCTGACCTCGTGATCCACCCACCGCGCCCTCCCAAAGTGCTGGGATTACAGGTGTGAGCCACCATGTCCAGCCGAATAAAGACTTTTTAAACTTCAGGGTTTTTTTTCTTTTTTGGAAGAGAGGGTACATAAAAATGTGAGTTCTTTTTACCAAAATCACTGCAAGTGTTTCATGCAGCACTCATGAGCTGATGTCCAGCTTCTCCTCAATGAGGTTTCAAAAGGAAACAAATATAAGACTTTATATTTGAAATTTTATTTTTTTGCCCAATAATAAAAAAGATTTGAATAAATTATGATATACCAAGATAACAGAAGAGCTTCCATGTATCAAATCATTCCAAGCAACTATTTGGGAAAAAAAGGGTTAGGAGCTTTAAGCAACATCAAAAAGCCATGAACTGGCCAGGCGCAGTGGCTCACGCCTGTAATCCCTGCACTTTGGGAGGCCAAGGTGGGCAGATCACGAGGTCAGGAGTTTGAGACCAGCCTGGCCAACATGGTGAAACCCTATCTCTACTAAAACTATAAAAATTAACCAGGCGTGGTGGTGCACGCCTGTAGTCCTAGCTACTCAGGAGGCCGAGGCAGGAGAATCACTTGAACTTGGGAGGTGGAGGTTATAGTGAGCCGACATCATGCCACCACACTCCAGCCTGGGCAACAGAGAAAGACTCCATCCCCCCCCCCCCAAAAAAAAGCCATGAACTTAGAGAACACATTGAGAACCCTGAATTCTTTCCCAGGGCACACACAGCCCTCCAGCATCTGAGCCCTGCCTCCCTCCAGCCTTGTCACCTCTCTGCAGGGACCACTCCAGTACTATGCCCCCATTTCCCCAAACCCTGTCACAGCCCTTACTCATGTAAGGACTTGTTGACTTATTTGCCTCCCCTGCTAGACTCTAGCCCTGAGAACTGAGGAACTACTACATCTGTTTGTTTCTTCCAGGGCTCAAGACGGCGTGTAGCAAACAGAAGGTGCTCAACAAATGTCTGTCTGTGGAATGACTGACCACATGCACGAAAAGCCTTTGATGGAAAAAAAACAATGAAAGAGAAAAGTGAAATGAGAGTAAAATTCTTCACTGATGTTAATTCCTATTTGCCATGAATCCAATCAATAAACATTTAGAACAAACTTATACTCAGGTTATTTAATTAGCACCCTACTCTGCTTCCCCAGGTGATCTGAAATGTTAAAGGAGACACAGCAAGCTCCAGGACTCTGTTGGTACATCTCAGACCATGTGGCTTCACATATAATACAAGTGGAAATCTGTCTCAAGTTTCCTAGTATGCTGAATAAAGACGCTGCATTGGGAAATATGAACCCCGTCCTCGTGACCTCTTACACTGACACTAAAAGCATCGTGTTGTTAAAATGTATTTGCAAATCCGATAAGGCACATACGCTGCATTCCTTGTGTCTGGCACATCTCTGTGGTAGCCCAAGCGGTCACTGATAAGCATATTAAAAGCATGTTTCTGATAGCCCAAGTCTCTCAACTCTTGATCGCGTTCATTAAAAATCATACCTGCAAAAGAGTGAAGTTAGTCAGCGAATTAAATCTAGAAAGTATCATGTTACTGTTAACGATATTATGATCTTAAGAAAATGCTGACTTTATCCTATTATAATCTAATATCTCTTTTCTCAAACTTAGGTTGTCTCTAGGTTGAAGTCAAATTCTTATCAGTCTAGGTCAAAGCAAGGTGTCTTAACCATAAACACCACCTGCTCACAAGCCATAATTTTTTTTTTTTTTTTGAGATGGAGTTTCCCTCTGTCGTCAGGCTGGAGTGCAGTGGCACGATCTTGGCTCACTGCAACCTCCAACTCCCTGGTTCAAGCGATTCTCCTGCCTCAGCCTCCCGAGTAGCTGGGATTACAGGCAAATGCCACCACGCCCAGCTAATTTTTGTATTTTTAGTTGAGACGGGGTTTCACCATATTGGCCAGGATGGTCTCGATCTCCTGACCTCGTGATCTGCCCACCTCGGCCTCCCAAAGTGCTGGGATTACAGGCGTGAGACACCACGCCCGGCCACAAACCATAATCTTAAGAATAGTTTATTATATTCAAAAGAAAAATTTACCTGCAACCAGGAAAAAAATTTTTATAATTTTCCATTAAAGCAATAGATTTTAGAACCCCAGTGGCCCTTGACAGGCCTCAATTACATGCGAGTTTTTACAGGAGTCCCTCCCCAGAAAAAGGCGACTGATAAGCTTTTCCATAAAAAGAGCTTCCCGGGTCAGACGCAATGGCTCACGCCTGTGATCCCAGCACTTTGGGAGGCCAAGGCAGGAGGACTGCTTGAGCCCAGCCTGGGCAACACAGCGAGACCTTGTCTCTACTACAAAAAAAAAAAAAAAAAAAAAAATTAGCCAGGTGTGGTGGCTCAGTGGCTCACACCTGTAGTCTCCATGACTTGGCTACTCAGGAGGCTGAGGCAGGAAGACTGCTTGAGCCCAGGACATCAAGGTTGCAGTGAGCCACAGTTGTGCCACTGCACTCCAGCCTGGGTGACAGAGTGAGATCCTGTCTTTTCAAAAAAAAAAAAAAAAAAAAAAAGCTTCACAGTTTCTGGTTTAACTGTCAGGGAATTCCTCCACAGGCCTAATCAAAGTCACTGTAATATTAGGCAGGGCGCGGCTGCTTATGCCTGTAATCCCAGCACTATGGGAAGTGGAGGCGGGCAGATTGCTTGAGGTCAGGAGTTCAAGATCAGCCTGGCCAACACGGTGAAACCCCATCTCTACTAAAAATACAAAAAAAAAAAAAAAAAAAAAAAAAAAAACTAGGCGGGAGTGGTGGTGCATTCCCGTAGTCCCAGCTACTTGGGAGGCTAAGGCAGGAGAATCTCTTAAACCCGGAAGGCAGAGGTTGCAGTGAGCCAAGATCGCGCCACTGCACTCCAGCCTGCAGAGCAAGACTTTGTCTCAAAATAAATAAATAAATAAATAAATAAATAAATAAATAAATAAAAGTCCATTTTTAAAAAATAGTAGAACTCTGTTCCTTTAATACAGTGAATGTTTTATGAATATCCAGGTGTAAAGGGTTGAGATATAGAATGCAGTGTTTCCAGCCGGGCGTGGTGGCTCATGCCTGTAATCCCAGCACTTTGGGAGGCCAAGGTGGGTGGATCATGGGAGGTCAGCAGTTCAACGCCAGCCTGACCAACATGGTAAAACCCCGTATCTACTAAAAATACAAAAATAAGCCAGGCATGGTGGCACACGCCTGTAATCCCAGCTACTTGGGAGGCTGAGGCAGGAGAATCACTTGAACCTAGGAGGCGAATGCAGCAAGCCAAGATCATGCCACTGTACTCCAGCCTGGGTGACAAAAGCAAAACTCTGTCTCAAAAAAAATAGAATGCAGTGTTTCCCCAATTTATCTGAACGCAACTAGTGTCCCCATATCTACTTTGAGAAACATTATCTCTTAATATGCCTTCTCTCTGAAACTGTTTCAAATGCAGTTCATCCTTTTTAAACACAAAACAACAAACCTCCACTAGCATTTTATACAAGGAGAGAAACTCCACAAGAGAAGAGACTTTGGTGATGACCAAAACATAAAAGAAATAAAACTAAAATTGCTTGATACCTAGAACCTAGAGCAGAGCCTTGCACAAAGAAGATTCTCAATAAATACTCCTTAATTCAACAAGTATCAGAACATGAAAGAATCATGTTCTATTATAGGTCTCTTGAAAAGATTCCATATGAAAAGATTGTTTTAGCTTACTTTTCTTATTCCCCTACTCAAAATTGTAGCCAAACCTCAATGAATTAACATGCCAGAGGACCCTTTTCAATTAATTTTATAATTAATTTCAGATTAAATGAGAAAATGTTTTTAATTTTAAATTTATTTATTTATTTATTTATTTTTTTTGAGACAGGGTCTTGCTCTGTCCCCCAGGCTGGAGTGCAGTAGTGCAATCTCGGCTCACTGTAGCCTCTGCCTCCTGGGCCCAAACAATCCTCATAAGTAGCTGGGACTACAGCCATGCGCCCCCACACTCAGCTAATTTTTAAACTTTCAGTAGATACCACCTTAAGCTGGTCTTAAACTTCTGAGCCCAAGCGATCTACCAGCCTCAGCCTCCCAAAGTGCTGGGATAACAGGTGTGAGCCACCATGCCTGGCCAATAATCTTTCTCAAATATACCTTTTCATAGGTTCCTTTCCCTGCTTGTTCAGTAATTCTCTACTCAGAAATCTGCATACTTTTAACTACTACATTATTTATACTAATTCCTTCTATATTAAATTTATTTTATGTAAGAAATTGTGGATGTTTTTCATTTTTTAACTGTGATAATTATGCACGTAACATAAAACATACCATTAGTGACATTTAGTACATTCTCAATGTTGTATGACCAGCATGATTATCTAGCTGCAGAATATTGTCAGCACCGCAGAAGAAAACCCTATACCCATTAAAGCAGTTATTCCCATTCCTCCCATTCCCCAGTCCCTGGGAACCACTCATTTGCCTTCTGTCTCCATGGACCTGCCTATTCTAGACATTTCACATAAAGGAACCCTACAACATGTGACCTTTTGTGTGTGGCTTCTTTCACAAGCATAATGTTTTCAAGGTTCATCCATGTTGTAGCATGATCACAACGTCATTCCCTTCTCTGTCTGAATAATATTCCATGGTATGGATAGACCACACTTAGTTTATCCCTTCATCAGTTGATGGATATTTGGATAACATGTTGTCACCTTCTGTCTATTGAGAATAGTGCTGCTAATGAACATTGAGTACAAGTTTTCGAGCACCTGTTGACAATTCTTCCAAGTACAAACCCTGGAGTGGTATTGCTGGGTTATATGATAATTCTACGTTTAATTTATGGAGGAACTGCCAAACTGTCTATAGTGGCTGCACTATTTTCCATTCCCACCAGCAACATGTGAGGGCTCCAGTTTCTCCACATCCTCACTGTCGCTTGCTACTCTCCTTTTTAAGTTTATTATTATAGCCCTCCCAGTGGGTGTGAGATGGCTATCTCATTGTTTTGATTTTCATTTCTGTAATCACTAATTATATTAAGCATCTTTTCATCTGCTTGTTGGCCATTTGCATATCTTCTTTGGAGAAATGTCTATCAAATCCTTTGCCCATTTTAAAATTGTGCCATTTGTCTTTTTATTACTGAGTTTTAAGAACTGTTTGGGCCCAGGCACAGTGGTTCATGCCTATAGTCTCAGCACCTTGGGAGGCAAAGGCAGGCGAATGGCTTGAGCCCAGGAGTTTGAGACCAGCTTGGGCAACATGGTGAAACCTTGTCTCTACAAAATATACAAAAATTAGCTGGGCATAGTGGTACACCCCTGTAGCCCCAGCTACTCGAGAGGCTGAGGCAGGAGGATCAAACGAGCCAAGGAGATTGAGGCTGCAGTGAGTCATGACTGTGCCACTGCCCTCCACCGCAGGTGACAGAGCAAGGCCCTGTCTCAAAATGAAATAAAATTACAAACAAGCATTCTTTATATATTCTGGATACTGAACCCTTATTAGAAATATGATTTACAAATATTTTCTCCCATTCTGTGGGTTGTCTTTTTTCACTTTTTTTTTTTTTTTTTTGAGACAGAGTCTTGCTCTGTCGCCCAGGCTACAGTACAATGGCGCGATCTTGACTCACTGCAACCTCCGCCTCCCAGGTTCAAGCAATTCTCTTGCCTCAACCTCCCGAGTAGCTGGGATTACAGGCACCTGCCACCACGCCCACCTAATTTTGTATTTTAGTAGAGATAGGGTTTCGCCACGTTGGTCAGGCTGGTTGCAAATTCCTGACCTCAGGTGATCCACCCACCTCAGCCTCCCAAAGTGCTGAGATTACAGGCATCAGCCACTGCGTCCAGCCCTTTTTTCACATTCTTGATATGTTATTTGATGTACGAAAGTTTTTGTTTTTGATGTAGTCCAATTTATTTTTAAAATTGGAAAGTCTGAGTCTTACAACTTTGTTCTTTTTCAGACTGTTTTGGCTATTCAGAGCCTCTTGTAATTCCATATTAATTTTAGGATAACCTTTTCCCTCTTTACAACAAAGACCACTGACATTTTGATAGGGATTGCACTGAATCTACATATTGCTTTGGGTGATACCTACATCTTAACAGTATTTAGTATTCCATTCTATGAACCTGGAATATCTTTCAATGTGTGTAGGTTTACTTTGATTTCTTTCAGCAATGTTTTACAGTTTTCAGCATACAAATCTTGCAGCTCCTTGGCTAAATTTATTCTTAAGTGTTTTATGACTTTTGATGCTATTGTAAATGAAATTGATCTCTTAACTGCATTTTTCAGGCCACTTGTTGCTACAGTATAAAAATGCAACTGGTTTTTGCCTGTTGATCTAGTACCTGCAACTGCCAAATTCATTTATTACCTCTAATAGGTTTTTTGTGGATTCTTTACGATAGTCTATAAGGAATTTAGTTTTTCAGTTAGGCAGCTGGAGTTTGTTATTCAATATCTACAATTCTCTCACTACTTCTTTCAAAAGCAAATACAGAGTCTATTCAAAATGGTAAACTCAGTATTACTTCTTGATAAAAGCTTTACCAATGTAACTATAAATAAATAAAAGAGCTAGACATTTTCCCATTAATGCTTTAAAAATGTCCACTGGCTATTTGAAAAAGATTTATGAAAATTGTACTTTATGAAAATTGAAGTTGGTGAGATCACGTCTCTATTTAAAAATATTTTTAAATGAAAACTGAAGTAGATATTAGCTTGTTTCCTCATAAAATTTTACATACTTTTGACTTCCTATATTAGAAAATCATTAAGTCCTAAGAACTGATTTTATTTCTTTGAAACTATGACCAAGTGAAAACTCTATTTTAACATTTCTTTCACATTCTAAGGCTCTCTCAATCTCTCAAAAATCTCTTGTATTTTACTCTTAAATTACCTATTATTTGATGTTTTTGTGACAAGATCCAAGTTCTTTAAGTTTTAATGATAACAAAAATTGCTCACTTATCCCTTAAAATAAAATGTCAAAATCAACACTCTAAAATTGCAGTATTCAAAGGCATAGACAATAGAGTCTTGCATCCAAGTTGAAGAGAATATAATTTTTTAGGAGGAAAAAAGGGCTATTTTATAACTAAGATTTCATAAACTATATTATATATACATATATTTTTTCTAGCACCTTAGTAATTCTTGTTAAGTGAAAATCATATTAGATATAAATAACCCCAGCTTATTTTTAAACTCAGTACTTTATGTTCTGTATTAATTAAATGTACCCTTAAAAATAAGTTAAATACAGTCAAGGAAACTTTCAACCATTTCTTTCCCTTATTAACAATTCTAGCAATTAAAACCTTCTTCCAGGGCTGGGCACAGTGGTGCATGCCTATAGTCCCAGCTACTCTCAAGGTTGAGGTGGGAGGGCAGCTTGAGCCCAAGAATTCGGGGACAGCCTGGGCAATATGGTGAGACCCCATCTCTTAAAAAAACAAACAAAAAACAAACCCCTTCTCCCATAGGTTCCATTTTCTTTCTAGCCTTTTAATTTTTCTTCCCTGGACCTTGTTTGTTTTCTCA
This sequence comes from Homo sapiens, assembly GCF_000001405.40. Lineage (NCBI taxonomy): Eukaryota > Metazoa > Chordata > Mammalia > Primates > Hominidae > Homo > Homo sapiens. The sequence goes on along the minus strand of NC_000007.14, from coordinate 152,094,728 downwards.
TAAGATACTGAAGTCAGAACTGGATAAATTAGAATATAACTCCCCACTGAGTCTGCAGAAACCACAGAACTTCAGGTAGTTCACAAACAAAATAAATCAGTGGGGAAAAAATGATGCAGCATTTCTGATCTCCTAATTAACTAATTAATCAAACTTCCAGTGATTAAATACATTGATATGGATGCTGGTAAACATCATATACTTACCTAATTCAGAAGAGAATTTCAAGTGGCCTTCTTCTGGATCTTCAACACGACTGTCTATCACATCGTCAATTTTGTTTGCTTTGAACTGTGGCTCGAGCACTCGACTTGGGCCTCGAGTGAAACGGGGATAGAATTTTTTTGGAGATGGTCCGTGGGGCCCAGACCCCTTGACGGGCACATTCTTAAGTGGCTGAGTCACTTCACTGAAGTTGAAATAAACAAAAAGCAAAACTGTCCAGGTCGCAGATGTAAAAAGGCACCCATAACAGAAATACCGAACTGTGACACTTCCCATTATAGACCTAGCATAGCTGAAGGGCCATTGTCAATTTCCTAAAAAAGAAGAATAAATATGTTAGACACTTCAGTATACTTTAAACCATCCACCAAATACAGAATCACTGTTTTCCAAACCACCAAGTAGGACCACTATGCGTACAGTTAACGGATATTCAAATACAAGAAGATGTATGGATAGTACTGAGTTTTTAAAAAGGGTTCAACAATGAAAACCTCAGGCCTGTGGGTTAATGCTCAGAGAACCAACGGCAGTGAAATAGCTGACTGATTCATTTGCCCATGTTAATGGATACTTCTTCACCTTTGTTCTGGACTGCTTTCAGTTGCGTAATTTTTCTCATCAGGTTATAATTTTCACAAGGAAAATAACAAGTACCACATGTATCATAACAGGACAACTAAAGTCTCTTCCAACCAAAGAACTGCAAGATTCTTTTTTTAATCCAAGGATCTTAAAAATCTATTATTAAAAATAAGCAACTCTAAGCAACTCTGGCCAGGTGTGGTGGCTCATGATTGTAATCCCAGCACTTTGGGAGGCTGAGGTGGGCGGATCATTTGAGGTCAGAAGTTCGAGACCAGCCTGGCCAACCTGGTGAAACCTTGTGTCTATCAAAAATACAAAAATTAGCTGAGGGTTGTGGTGGGCGCCTATAATAATCCCAGCTACTTGGGAGGCTGAGGCTGCAGAACCTCTTGAACCCGGGAGGCGGAGGTTGTGGTGAGCCAAGATTGCACCACTGTACTCTGGCCTGGGCAACCGAGCAAGACTCTGTCTCAAAACAATAAAAATAAATAAATATAAACAACTTAAAAAAAATTCTACTTTCCAATCAAAGGTTATGCCTGCCCTAGTGTGCACTCTAAATCTAAGTTATTTTCAAATAAAGAGTTCAAGTAATTATATTCCCTCACCTATAAAACAAGGCAAGAAGAACTAAATGTAGCACTGAACAGCAATTTTTCCTAAGCTTTTTTTTTTTTTTTCCTTTTTAAGACAGAGTCTCACTCTGTCACCCAGGCTGGAGTAAAGTGGTGGGATCTTGGCTCACTGCAACCTCTGCCTCCCGAGTTCAAGTGATTCTCCTGCCTCAGCCTCCCAAGTAGCTGGGATTACAGGTGCGTGCCACCATACCTGGCTAGTTTTTGTATTTTTAGTAGAGATGGGGTTTCACCATGTTGGCCAGGCTGCTCTCAAACTCCTGACCTCAGGTGATCTGCCCGCCTTGGCCTCCCAAAGTGCTGGGATTACAGGCGTGAGGCCACCGTGCCTGGCAATTTCTCCTAAGCTTTCTGATATCTGATCTTCATGGAGGCTAATACAATTTCCTAAGGAATTCTAAGGAGCCCAATGCACATATAAAATCATCTCAGTAAACAGACTTATGGCAGAGAAACCATATAAGCAATGTAGATACATAAGAAAACTGCACAGAGATACTGCTTTTAAGTTACTTATTTCTACAGCATAAAATAATCTTAAAAATGGTATTGTCCCCAAAAGATCAGGACAAAGCAAACTGGCATCAGTAAAGCACCACTGTAAAAATTAGGTTCTCTTGTACAAGGTTATGCCATAAGCCTAGAAGATGGTAAACAGTTCAGTTTCTTAACTGTCTGCCAACCAAGAACTATTAAGTATTCTACTACAAGTTAATTAAAAAGTAAAAAAACAAAACAACAGTAACATACCAAAACAAAACAAAAACCCAACCAAACAAAAACTCCCACCAACAGTAATACCAGAGGCATGGCTGGAAATGACAATAGTACAAAGGAAAATCAGGCGCCAGTGAAAGCGCTGCTATGTCAGCTGCAGGTACTTTTAAAACTAAAGACATAAACAGAAAAACACAAATACTTGAAGTAGAAGAAAATGTTCTCTAAGTAAGGAAGCCCATGAGAGCAAATGAAAAGACAAAAAAAAATTGCAATGTGCAACTTTGTAACAAAAATATTGCAACAAAAATGTACAGAGCAGTGACATTTAGGGGAAACAGACATTATAACTCCCTAAAATGTTCGCTTAGGGTAGACAAAGAGCAAGTAAACAAACAACAAAAACAAAAGCACTGCTTCTTCCACAGGCCATGAGATCCTGAAGTTAAAGAGTGTAACCGGACAGGCTGCTCTGAATCCACGAGGAACCAGGCACCTAGGGAGCCAACCCCTTCTTCATCCATATAGCAAGGTCCACGCTTACAGGTTGTTTTCCTCAAACCACTCCCGGCCTTCCCGCTTCCACCATGGGCTGCTTGGCCCTCACAAAAGGGAACCATCCAAAACAGACCCTGAAGAAACCAAGAGCTACTCCATTAGCAGCTATGAAAGATGGACACTGATGTCGTTTCTCGTGTTTTCTTTAGCCTGATTCCCACTATCATGTTGGACCATGCCCAACCCTGCCTCCAAATGTCTTGGTTAGTGTTCCTGCTGTCACCTTTACCTAAATTCCACATAAGGAACTTTGCCCCACCCTCAATTTCATCATCATCCAGGACTGATGTGATGACCTCTTCATGTCTAAGTTGAAACTTTCCTCTCCGGCTGGGGGCGGTGGCTCACACCTCTAATTCTAGGACTTTGGAAGGCTAAAGTGGGCAGATCACCTGAGGTTGGGAGTTGGAGACCAGCCTGGGCAACATGGTGAAACCCCGTCTCTACTAAAAATACAAAAAATTAGGGCCGGGCGCGGTGGCTCACGCCTGTAATCCCAGTACTTTGGGAAGCCGAGGTGGGCGGATCACAAAGTCAGGAGTTTGAGACCAGCCCGGCCAACATGGTGAAACCCTGTCTCTACTAAAAATACAAAAAATTAGCGGGACGTGGCGGCGCACACCTGTAATTCCAGCTACTCGGGAGGCTGAGGCAGGAGAATCGCTTGAACCCGGGAGGGGGAGGTTGCAGTGAGCCGAGATCGCGCCATTGCAATCTAGCCGGGGTGACAATGCGAGACTCCGACTCACACACAAAAATAATAATAATAATAAAATAAATATATATATAAATTAGCCAGGTGTGGTGGCGGGCGCCTGTAATCCCAGCTACTTGGGTGGCTGAGGCAGGAGAAATTGCTTGAACCCGGGAGCAGAGGTTGCAGTGAGCCGAGATCGCACCACTGCATTCCAGCTTGGGCGACAGAGTGAGACTCCACATGAAAAAAACAACAACAACAACAACAAAAACTCCCTCTCCAACCACAACCCTGACTCCTCAGCTGCATCTACCCCTATGTCTTCAGTCTCATGACAGGCAAAGTCCGGGCACTCAGCCCTCCCCACTTCCCTTATGATTTAATTCTATTTCAGTCTCCAGCTATACACCCCATAATGGCTTTACTTCCTTCTCTATCCAGCTGGGAACACTGTGTTAAATAATACATTAGAAAGTGATAAGTGCTGAGGAAAGAAAATAAAGCAGGAAGAGCAACGAGGAGAAGAAGGTGTGTGAAGCTTCAGGAAGATGGAGAGGGAAGGCCTCCCTGAAAACGTGATACTTGTGTCAAGACGTAAACTGAATAGTGAGTACTGCAGCTATCTGGGGAAGAGCTATGCAGGGTGGGGTGGGGTGGGGGGGTGGGGGAATAAGAGCAAAGGCTCTTGAGGAGTGCGACCAGTGGGGTCAAGGAGCCACATGCTGTGACCAAGACAAGTACACTAAAAACCAATGGTAACGAAGTAACTAGAAAGGTTACAAAATGTGCAAATGAACACTACAGAGATTTCTACAGAACCTAAGTAGTGAAAATACAACTTTTTTAAAACCCATAGGATATGGCTAAATTTATAGCTTTTGATGCCTATATTAGAAAACATGACCACAAACTATGAATTAAGAAAAATATAACTGAATAAACCCAAGGAACATAAAAGAATAATAAAAGCATTATCAGGAATTAATAGAAAATGAAAATAAAACAACAGAAGCCAAATGCTGGTTCTTTAAAAGATCAGTAAAATTAATAAAATGAAACTGCCTTTGCAAAATTGTGACAGTAGAAGAAATCTGACATAGCTGACCTCCAAACTGTCCCTGGTCACTCCTGGGTGTATGCCAAGCTAACTTTAGGAGAAATGTGGTTTCCAGTTTAACTTAGGAGCAAGGATGATAACAGCCCCTCCCTATAACTAGCCCCTTTCCTTGATCAGGGACTGAAAACCACCTTTGTAAGCAAGAATATGATAATGGGAACTGGAAGGGCCTAAACTCCACAGAAATGTAGGTGTAGTTTCTATAATCCCTTACTGCTCGGGAGTCATGTGGCCAGACGTCGCAAAATTCATGACTTCCTCGATTGTTCCTATAGATAACATCATTATTGTAGAACCTGTAGAAAGTAAAAAGTTCCTCTTCAAAGTTTCCCTTCTTGTTAAAGAGTAAATCATAAGTGTTAGAAATAATAGTTTATTTTAAAGACTAACTTCCTTCAAGCCTCTTCACTTTATGCTAATAACTCTTTGTTAAGCCCTATCCTATGTAGCTGTTAAACATGCTCACAGGTGCATAGTACATTCTATGTCCTTGTACCTTAACCAAAATATTTGTGCTGGACATGCTCACGGGCACGTTCCAGCTCGCAGCCTATGCCCCTTCCCTATTTGGCATAAGCAACTTCCTCTTTTCCTTTGTCTTTCCATTACTTTTACCTATTTAGAAAAGTTTTAAACTGTTAGCCAATCGGGTTTTAGTTTAGATTGCGCGGTCTGGCTCCAGCCAATGGAGACAGGACACAGTAGCAGGAACAAACAGCATAAGGGATAAAAATTACGTCTTTCCTTTGTTCGAATGTGCTCTCGCCATTGTTCCAACTGCGATGAGCACCCTTTCTGCAGAAAATACAGATTGCCTTGCTGAGAGAATTAAATTTATATTTGAGTGCTATTTCTTTATGGCACCAGGGAACAAACATTTTACATATAACAAACCTAAGATTGTTTTTTTGAGATATCTTTCAGACAGATCCTACCCAGGCTTGTGACTCATGACTCAACTGGTCCCAGAGGTGAACTCTGTGCACAAAGACTGTTGTCCACCCCCCTATGATTTCATCCCCAACCCATCAGCCACACTCGTTCCCTAGCCCCCTGCCCACCAAACTGTCCATAAAAACCCTAAACTCTGAGCCCTCAGGAAAATGGATTTGAGTGATAAGCCCAGTTCTCCTGCATGGGCCAGCTTCACATGAATGAAGTTCTTTCTTGACTGCAATGCTATGGTCTCAGGGTATGATTTTGTCTGTGGAGTGGGCAGGAAGAACCCATCGGGCAACTACACAAGCACTGGCAAAACATATCAAGAAAAATGCACAAATAAGACGACAATGAGAAAGAGGCATAAATACAGACACAGACTGAAAACAGGAGCACTGTTTACAAATTCAGGTGAAATGATCAAATTCCTAGAAAAACATAAATGCATAACACCAACTCTGGAAAATCAGGAACCTGGATGCCCTGTAGTACCTTTGAATGTTAAACTATCATAAAAACATTTCTAGGTGATTTTAAAAGTGAGTTCTACCAAGTATCTAAGGAACAGATGGTTTTAGGTAGATGCAATGACCTTCAGAGGACAGAAAATGAGGAAAGATTCTCCATGTCCCTTTCTGAGGCTGTTACCACTCTGATATCAAAATAAGGGCAGTTTAAGGAAAGAATATTAAAGACAATCTCAGAGAGATTACAGAAATCTTAAAAAAAAAAAAAACCCTGAAACCAACCATGTTTTTAAAAACTGAATATACCATAAACAAGTTGTATTTACTTCAAGTACTCAAAGTTGGTCCAATATTTGAAAAACCATAATCTACCACCTTCATAAATTAAAAGAAAAAAAACCCAAATGGTTTTATCAATGGAGATAAAGAGTTTATTACAATTCAACACTCAATTCTTAACAAACTAGGAAAAATAGGGAAATCTTTGCCTGACAAAGAGCATCTCTAAAAATCTGGTAGCAAACATGATACTAAACAATGAAACAACAAAACCATTTTCTTTAAAAATAAAAGACAAAGGTTCCTATAATCACTTGTATCACACTACCATAAATATAATAATGGAGGGTGGTAGTTTCAAAATACAGAAATCCTTGGAGTATTTATTAAAAATACAGATTCCCAGGGCTCCACGCCAGCTATGCTAAATGGGAATTCCCAGAGATAAGGTTAAGGAATCTTTAGCTTAAACAAGCCTCCAAGTTAACTCTGATGCACAGCCAGATTTGGGAATCAATGGTATAATGAAAAGATAAGACTGAATTCTAATCCCATTCTGCCATATATCAGTAATGCAACTTTGGAAAAATTAGCAGATTTTCTTAGCCTCATTTTCATCAACTGTATTCCAAGTTAATGACATTGTCCATCTTATTGGATACTCAGAATCAAATGAAATACTCAGAATTACACAAGGTAAAATATGTAAAGTGTCAGATACAATGACTGACACACAAAACACCACCCTTTGCACTGAACCAAGATAGTCTTCACAAGGACTGTGGCTTGCATTTGCTGTTTGTTTTCTTGTTTAATGTTTTCCCTTCACTTAGCACAATGAATAGCCCACAGAAAGTGCTGAAAAGTATCTATAGGATGAATATAGTAAAAACTGAACAAATATTAATTTTTTGTCATTAGATCTAGACTTAACATATAATATCAATGGTAGACATGACCACCCATCTGCTCCCTACAAAGACCTGCAAGTCCCTACGTAATCTGGCATTACCTCTCTGAGCACTTTTCCCACCACCTTCTCTCTGCATTCATTTTGTCCTAGACACAGGTCTCCTTGTGGGTCAAACATTTCAATTACACTCCATTATGGACTATGCACTGGCTCTTCACTTAGTCTAGAACACTCTTCCTCCCAGGTAATTTCATGATGACTTCTTTCACTGCCATTGAATCTTTGCTCGAATATCTTCTTCTCAATAAGGCCCTACCAAGATTACCCTATTTAAAACTTCAATCCACCCACTAAACATTAAACCTGGTCTTCCTTATTCCATGGAATTTATCACCTTCTTACGTATACATAATTACTTATTCCCTGAGTTTATTATTTATTGTTTATCTCTCCCATACCAGGAAGTAAGCTCCAATAGGGAAAGAGCTTTTGTCTATCCCTGGAGATTATAATAATGCGTAGAATATAGCAACAATTTAATAAATATTTGTTAATAAATGAAAAAAATTACTGTAATATGGTTAGCAACATGCTTGCAAATTTCTAAACAAATCTGTTACTATCTTGTTTGGGCTAAGCAATACCTTAATACTATGCATAGAGGTCATGACCATCTTATTCAACAATAGTATAAAAACTAGCACAGAACAACAGCCATGTTTATTTTTGGAAAAGGTACAAGAAACAACTCAGGAATTTATTGTCTCATTTCAAAACTTAAATAATGGTCTTTGTGATAAAAACAGGCAGACTAATCTTACAGAATTCACTGACAACAACAAATAAACAAAAAACCCGGGAAACTACTTTCCTTAGGTTCACTCTTGGCTACCTGCCAGCACCTAAGGGCAAAATGAAAAAGTTTTCTGCTCAAAGACCTCACCAACAGGATTTGGCTAACTCTGTCCAGATTCTCCATGGAATAACCACCCTGGCTCATCCTATCCACAACAGCTCAACATCATGATTCCTTGGTTTCCTGAGCTGTAAAATATACTAACTTTCAACAACTCTATCAGGCAGATGTTATTCTTTTTCCCAAACCATATTATAATTCTTTAGAGAGTATTTTTTACATAGTAAATCGTAAGACTAAATTTAAAAACATATACATTTATAAAATCCCATCATTTCTTTTATACAATTAAGCATAATGGTATTCAGAAGCAATAAAGGAACTATCTGTTTTCGGATAGGTCAAGAAGTTAGGGCTGGGCGCGGTGGCTCTCGCTTGTAATCCCAGAACTTTGGTAGGCCAAGGTGGGTAGATCACCTGAGATCTGGAGTTCAAGACCAGCCTGGCCAACATAGTAAAACCCCGTCTCAACTTAAAAAAATACAAAAATTGGGCCGGGTGTGGTGGCTCACACCTGTAATCCCAGCACTTTGGGAGACTGAGGTGGGCAGATCACGAGGTCAGGAGATTGAAACCATCCTGGCCAACATGGTGAAACCCCATGTCTACTAAAAATACAAAAATTAGCTGGGCATGGTGGCACGTGCCTCTAATCCCAGCTACTCAGGAGGCTGAGGCAGGAGAATCGCTTGAACCAGGGACTCAGAGGTTGCAGTGAGCCGAGGTTGCACTACTGCACTCCAGCCTGGCAACAGAGCGAGACTCCATCTCAAAAAAAAAAACAAAAAACAAAAACTAGCCAGGTGTGGTGGCACACACCTATAATCCCAGCTACTCTGGATGCTGAGGATTCTGAGCATCGCTTGAACCCAGGAGGCAGAGGTTGCAGTGAGTCAAGATCATGCCATGCACTCCAACCTGGGCAAGAGAGCGAGACTGTCTCCAAAAATAAAAAAAAGAAGCCAACACCCAAATATGAAGGAAATGCAAAGAAATCAGATGTCTATTATTCAATAAATTTCTCACCTGCTTAAGAAACTAAAAACATCCAAACAAAAATCAAAAGCTAAAACTTTAATCTACACTAATAATGAATGATGAATCTAGTATCTACACAACAAAATCTTTGTGTTTCATACTGTTTGCTATCCCTTCTAAAGGCAATTACCCAGGCCTTTAATATCCAAGTCTGAAAGCCTTTGAAAAGAGAGTCAAAGCAAGTATCTCAGGTTACTTAAGGCAAAACAACTAGTGACAAATTCTTTCAATCATAAACTTGAATAGTTAATAGGGCCAAAACTTCAGCAGTTAGACATCAACTAATACGTTCTTCAAAGTTAAATGAATAAAAGGCTAACCAGTTGTGAACTTGAATTTATTAAAGTGAGACAAGTCACTATGGTTTTACGTTTTTCTTCAGTCATGGTCTGGTAGCTGCTCAGGGATAGGTGCCTTGTAAGCTGAGACGTGGGTTTTTGCCAGGGAGGTACAACAGTACAGGAATGGGGCAAGGTATATGCAGTGGGATGATTATGACAAATCACAGATTTAAGCCAGGGAAACAGAGATGTGAGGATGTGGAAGTATGAGGCAAGATGAAAAATGTGGATAGGCCTATGGATTAGAGGACCTGGTGTGGCCAAATAATTGCTGGAGTTGTTACCAGACAGAGGGAACCAGAAAGGTGAAATGTCATGGCTGGAAAATGAGATGCTCAACATTGTGACTTTGGAGGGGGACATTGACAGCAGAATCATCCTTTACAGGTATGTGAACCCAAGATATCCCAACAGACAATTTGCCTGTAGGGTAAGCACTGCTATACTTACCATAAACAAGCCCCCTGAGGACAGAGATCATTTCCATCTTTTCAGCCCCATATATTTAGCATAGCGCTTAGTATTAACAATTAATACATACTTGTTTGTATAATTTTTGAAGTGTATTTCTGTTCCAGAAGAGGTTAAAGGACATTGTTCACATTCTGTGCAATGCGAAATCTTAGAGAAGAGTATAATGTGTGAGCAGACCACATCCTCGGAAATGAATGCTTATTGTGAAGAAGGAGAGGCAAGAAAGACGGCTAACCAGTTTAAACAGTTTCATTAGACGGTTTCATTATGAAACAAAATACTCAACACGCCAACAAAAGTACGAAGTCTTCCTCTTAGTCCATGATTTCTTAACAATAAATTTGAAAACACTGTGAGAGAAAATATTTAAAAGAGGTGATTTTGTATAGTTCTAACAAAATCAACTTGAAAATGTAAAAGTTTTTTTTTTTTTTTTTTTTTTTTAAAGAGACAGGGTCTCCCTCTGTTGCCCGGGCTAGACTCAAACTCCACACTCTAGGCTCAAGTCATCATCCTCTCAGCCTCCTGAATAGCTGGGATTACAGGTGTGCACCACTACACCTAGCTAGAAGAGAGTAACTTTTAAAGAAAATACAACTTATTAAAATTGACCCCAGTCCCAAAGAAAGTCATAAAAGAGTTCCCCAAAAAAACCCCAAAATAAAAACACCAAAGAAAAAAATAAAAAACAACAACAAAAACAAACTACCAGGCACAGAGAAGAGTGTCAGAGGAAATCCTACTGCTACTTAAGCCAAATATTTTTTTAAAGGAAAGCTTCCCAATTTGTTTTATGAAATGAACATAACATTGATTTCAAAGACCTGACAAAGACTGAACCTCCCCCACAAAAAGTCTCATTTATGAATATCAAGACAAACATCTTAAATACTAAACACAAATTTAACAATAAACGTCTAAAACATTTATGAGGAAAACAATAAGAAGCTCCAAAAGGTCCCAAAGGAAGACCTGAACTAATGGAAAGATGTACATGCCATATTCTTGGATAAAAAGACACAAAATCCTAATAAATACGTCATTTCTCCCTAAGTTAACTTGTAAGTGCTACACAATCATGTTAAATATATTATCAGGTTTTTTTTTCTGGAGCTAGACAAGTTAATTATAAAGTTCATTTGGAAAAGAATAAATAAGCAGGGAATAGCCAGGTAAACTTTGGAAAAAGAACTAGTGGGGTGTGAGCCCCACTGCAGAACAAGTGAACTCCAGGGCTTCTCTATCCAAACAGCGCAGCAGGGCCCACGCACAGACAGACAAACCAATGGGAAAAGAAGAGAAAAAAGACCCAATTACATTTAGAAATTTAGAAATCTAATATGTTTGCTATAAATAAATTTAGTATAAGCTTAGTATAAATAAAGAAAACATCACAAACCTGAGAGGAAATGAATGACTTTCAACTAAATGATGTCAGAACAACTGTTTAGCCATAAGGAAAAACAACAGAGTCTACTCCTCCCATCATTTATCCCGAAAACTGGATATTTAATTATAAAACATGACTCCATACAAGTACTAGAAGAGAATATGAGTAAATTCCTCTATTATCTGGGATTGGGCAAAATTTTTCTAGCTAGGACTAAAAAAGATCAGAATATAGGAAAAGAAACTGGATTACATAAAGACAAAAAACTTTGGATACTAAAAGACACCAAAAGAAAAGTAAAAAGACAAGTGACAAACTAGAAAAAATACTCACAATTGGTATCACAGACAAAAGAGTAATATCTCAGTGTTGGTTTTCTATTGCTATGTAATTACCACAATTACTGGGGGTCACCTTAGGGTCTGTGAGCCACAATCTCAAATAGAGATTCTAAAAATAAAGGACCAACAACCTTACAAACCATTCACAGAACAGAAACACAAATAGTTCTTAGCTATATGAAAAAATGCTCAAACCTGCTTATACTAAGAGAAGTGCAAATTTAAATTACATTGAAATATCATTTCCCACCCGATCAAACTGAAAAAATCCAAAAGCTTGACAACATATTCTGAGAGTGAGGCTGTAGGGAAGCTTTCATACATGTGTAAAAACCAAAGGAGAGTTTCCTCTTCAAAAACTTTCCTCCCCATCTAATTAGGAATAAATAGTAACTTCTCTTAGCAGCAAAATTTATTCAAAGACCTGTGCTAACATTCTTAAATATCTGCTAGCCATAATAAAGAAATCAATGTACTTTATGTTCTTAGCTCCCACACTTTAGCCTAAATATCTGCCCTGGCATGCTTTTACTAGTCCAAGCAAGCATTAGGTCATAGCCCGTTCCTCTTCCTTATTTGAAGGTTTTTACCTTTCTCAGCATTCCACAAGTTACTTCCTCTTTCCTTTGTTCTCCTCTGCCTTTGCCTCTTTTAAAAAGTTCTAAGTTGCTAGCCAATCGGGACAAATACAGAATGTGAGGTCCCGTTCCAGCCAATGGAAACCAGACACAGCAGTAGGGTGGATGCGTCAGGTTATAAATGACCCTGTCTCCTTTGTTCGGTGTACTCTCATGGCAAAACTGCTGGTAAGTGTACCCTTTCTGCAGAAAGTAAAAATGGCCTTGCTGAGGAAATTAATGTTCAAGTGCTATTTCTTTACAGCACCGAGGAACAAGCATTTCTAACACATGGTATACCTTCTATGCAGGTTCATTTAGCAATACCCAGCAAAAATACACTATCTACTCTTTGACTTAGTAATATTACTTCCAGTAATCTAAACCACAGATGGTAAAAATAGAAAACAATATATGCATAGGCCTATTCACTACAGGACTATTTATAATAGTAAAAGGCTAAAATAAATCCCATTGTCCATTAATAAGGGGCTGGTTGAACAAACTATGAACTATCCACACAATAGAGCAATACACAGCTATACAAAGGAAAATATTTTTATTAGTTGCTAATTACAGATTAATCTGTAAATTATGTTGTCAGGTGAAAAAAGATGAGAAAAGTATATATAGGATGCTACATGTAAGTACACACACACCTGCCTATATTATAAAACAAAGGATAAAAAGAGGAAAGACAAAGCATAATATTGGGTTGGTTTCTAGCATCCCCCATAAACCATTTTAAAAAAGCTGATACCCATAAGAAGAGGAAGAAAACATAGAGTGGTATGGGGTCAGGGCTGGAAGCTGACATCATCTTTGCAGGTGAAGAGTAGCCTTACACTACTATGCAATCCAGGAAACTAGAAAAATGTGTATACAAAAACATGCAAATAACAATTTAAGCACATACATATTTTAATCTGCACAAAAAGCAAACTTTTATTGTGACTGTTAGCATCTACTGTTGTTAATATTTAAAAACTGTTGTTAATATCTAAAATGCTTTGTGGCAAACTATTTAGGTCGCAAAGGACTAAAATCTCAGCTCACCCAATTTACATTCCGGCATCATCATCAGATTAGCCTGAGGGGTGTTTCTCAACAGCACAATACCGGGCTTTGAGGTAAGAAGGCTTCTTTTGAAATGCTTTTTGTAGTCGTCCTCTATTAACAGAGGTCATAGTCCACACCAGCTATAAAACTGTGCTCCATGAAGTAGTTAAATTACATAAAGGTCACTAAGACAATGCCTGTTATGCAATGTCACTCTACAGATGATGGCTTAATTCCACTAATCTTCCAGTCTAACCAATCTAACATTTTTCAGAAATCTTAATCTTTCAGAAATCTAAATCATTTCTGAATGATTTAATGAAAATCTTAAATAATCCTAAAGAAAAGGCTAATAAACTAGGAACACAGTAGAAGATCTACAGGCAAGGCTCCATTCAGGGTGCTGGCAATTAATGGGGTTTTTTTTGTTTGTTTTTTGGTTTTTCTGAATCAGAGTTTCGCTCTTGTCGCCCAGGCTGGAGTGCAGTGGCGAGATCTTGGCTCACTGCAACCTCTGCCTCCTGGGTTCAAGCGATTCTCCTGCCTCAGCCTCCTGAGTAGCTGGGATTACAGGGGCCCGCCACCAGGCCCGGCTAATATTTTGTGTTTTTTTTTTTTATTAGAGATGGGGTTTCGCCATGTTGGACAGGCTGGTCTTGAACTCCTGACCTCAGGTGATCCTCCTGCCCAGGCCTCCCAAAGTGCTGGGATTACAGGCGTGAGCCACTGTACCTGGCCCGCAATTAATGTTTTAATAGCTTTTGCTATTGTGCTAAAAGCTCAGAAAACACAGACAAGCAAAAAGGAAACTACTTAAAAATCACCAGAAGTCTCACCACTTTAATGTTTTGCTATATAATCTACTACTTATTTTCATCTTTCTACACTATCTACAAAATGCTATACTGCTTTTGGCAACTACCAAAAAATTAATAGACTCAGGTTAGTGGCATCATGGCTAATTTTCTTTGTTCTTTCTTTTATTTAAAACATTTTCTACAAGGAATATGTAGTGATTTAATAAATGAGGTAAAAAATTTCTTAGACAGAAACTCCCTAACTTGAAAATATAAGAACAACTATGGAAAAGATTAAATACTTTAAGGCTATGAAAGAAATAGGATACCATATTATTTTAACCTCACAAGCAAAGGGGATTTCCATAGCCACAAGCACCAAGAAAAATGAGCAGGTTTAAGCACACCGAAAGAATATTTTAATTCCATCAATTTGTCAAAAATATGAGAATAAAATTTGAGTACTGAACAAATGTTCTAAAAGCACAATTTGAAGAATAGTTTTTCCTCTATGAATCACTATCTAATCTGAAATTCTTAACCACCTTTTAATGTCCATCTTTTACCACAAGACTAATGAGAAAATTCTATTTCACAGGACAGCTTTCATTTTCTACCAGAATAAACTAATTTTCATAATATTTAATGCATTTAAAATGTATTTATTTACCTTTCAGTAGTTTCCAGCTATTTTCTTGTAAGATACTCTTGCATTACAAATTGTCAAACAGCAAATATTTATTAGCTTTTTCCATAAAAGAGGCACACTCATATTTTAACTCAGCTGTAGTCATGTGAGTACAAATATTAATTTACAACAGTACAGTACCCACATACCCCTGTGAAATTACCAGGTGATGACAACATAAAAATACACATTATTCTTTCCCATTCCTTATCTACCCAGAAAGCTAGAAGAAAACATAGCTACCAATAGTAGTTTATAATTACACATAAGGCGATTGCTGAATTAGGAAAGGTTCAGAGCAAATTCCAGACATCATATGCTCCCTGGGAATGATCCTCAGACATCCCTGATATTTATGAATCTCTTCTCTGTAAGACAATCGAAAAGAACATGAATGCATCAAATGTCTAACACTGTGTCTCAAATGCAGAAGAAAACCACAAGGTAATGCTGATGGGAGAAAGAAGCAAATTTAATCAAACACATAGAAAAGAAACTAAAAGGACAAACAACATGGCAAATACCTAGAAGAGCAAAACCTGGGACAGCTGATGAGCCAGTGAATAAGGGATGGTAGAGGCTGTTATTCTTCAACACTTTGAATGAATGCCCAAGTAAAAAGTAGCAGCTCTCGCTCACTATAGACCTGTGGAAGACAAGAAGGTAAAAGCTACCTCAGGTAAAAGCTAGCCTCAGGGAGCAAGCATGAGGTCAGTAGTTTCTACCTCCTAATTCTATGAGGTAGAAAAGAACAGTAAGGAAAACAAATAATATAAATTGAAATAAAATGACTATGGGCACATGCTACTGTGTCCAGCTGTTATACATAATTATTAATAGTAGTATTAGTTAAAGGGTTTTCGCTTGCATCCTACACATACTCTTTCCTGTGTCAGCTATGCCATTCATCCGTGAGAGTCATTCTTCCCAGTCGGCAAGGGAGACAGAGTAGGAGCTACCTATAAACCATGGCTGAGTGGTGCCAGTGAGGGGCTCTGCCCCCTGACTGCCCATTATGCTGAAATTCCTGCATTATAAACTAATCCTTTGGGTCTGGAAAGCTTGCCTTTTATTTAAGATGTTCTTATCTCTCAGTCTTCAATCAAAACAGAAGTTGCATCCTTTTTGTCCAATCAAAATTTTTGGAACTCTAGCACATAAATTATTTTGTAAATGTGATTAAAAAAAACATGTAATTCATCACTTGTTAGAAAAACACTTACTCTCAGCAGAATTCTGAAAACCACTGCTAAAATTAGAAAGGAGGAGGGGAAGGAAGCTCAATCTAAGGAAAATGAATTTGCATATTACTTAGAAGTGGAAAACTTTAAGAATCACCTTATGCTATATTAAGAATCTCTTAATTCTGTGGATTGTCATCTTTCATGGGGTTTCAAAAATCTTTGCCATTATTTATTCAAATATTCCTTCCGGCCGGGCGCAGTGGCTCATGCCTATCATCCCAGCACTTTGGGAGGCCGAGGCGGGTGGATCATCTGAGGTCGGGGGTTCAAGACCAGCCTGACCAACATGGAGAAACCCTGTCTCTATTAAAAATACAAAATTTGCTGGGCATGGTGGCATACGCCTGTAATCCCAGATACTCAGGAGGCTGAGGCAGAAGAATCACTTGGATTTGGGGTAAGCCGATACTGTACCATTGCACTCCAGCCTGCGCAACAAGAGTGAAACTCTGTCTAAAAAAAACAAACACAAAAACAAATATTCCTTCTACCCCCCTCCCTCTTCTCCTTCTAGGATTCAAATCACGTATGTCAGACTTTCTCAGGATGGAGTATATTTCTTACAGCTTCTTCAGTGTTGTCCAGCCTTCCCCCCTCACGCTTCATTCAGAGAGGTTTCTTCTGATCTCTCGGGGGCTCACTTTTCTCTTCAGCAGTATCTAATCTGCTGAATCCACTGAATCCTCCATTTTGGCTACTGTATTTTTTAGATCTAGTATTTAGTTGTTTTTCAGGTCTGCTTTGCCCCCTTATATTAAGTTTCCAGTTCCTTGTTGAAATGTTTTTATTCAACTTTTATCTCCATGAACATAATAAACATATGCTTTAGCGTCTGTCTGGTAATTCCACTGTCTGCAAAGCCTGTTTCTATCCTCTGTTATCTGTGCGGGTTCTTGTTAAGGTAGTCTCCCAGTGGGCCTGGTTACACTGACTTGGTGGTATGGTGGACACTATTTGAAAAATCATTTCAGAAATAATTTGAGGCGTGAGATGTTATCTTCCTCTGGAGAGGATTTTCATCTGTCTCTGTTAGGTGACTGGGGTCACCAGCAATTTGAGATCACCCTAATCCATTTCACCATTTGAGATTTACTAAACCCCCAGGTGACCCCATGGAGCTTCAGTCCAGGCAAAGGCTGGCACACTCCCAGCCCATGAGTGTTCTGGATGGCAGCCTCTCAAGGTTTCAACATTAACCCCAGGTGGCTCACCAGGATTCTTACCCACAGCAAGTTCTAGACTCCAGTTTTTGTTTCTGTCCTCCTGTGAGTCAGTTAACTACACTGCTCAGCCTCTCACCTGCTCTTCCAGAACAGCAAATAGCCGGGCAAAAGCGGCCCTGGGTCAGAGGCTCACGTCTCTGGTTTTCTATCATCTCCCAAATCTTAACCCAGTAATTCTTTACTATGTTGTAAATTCCTTGATGCTTTTCAGAAAAGTATCAGCTGGCTTTAACTAGGTTACTCAGGCCATTATCGGAAGCACAAGGCCAGGGCTATTTTCTAAACAGTTGTTTTGGCATTTCAAAGAGTGCAGGCTAGGTACTGCCAAAAAGAACATCAGCAAATCAAACTGTGACAGAATCTTGGGCCTTTTTTTTGAGACAAGGTCTCACTGTCACCCAGGCTGGGGTGTGGTGGTTATGATCATAGATTACTGTAGCCTCCAACTCCTGGGCTCAAGCGATCCTCACCTCATCCACCCAAAGTATTGGGATTATAGGCATGAGCCACCATGCCCAGCTATGGGCCTTTTTCAGAAAACTTTTTTCCTCCATACATCGTGAACTGTATAGAAAATTAATTTCTGAGAATCTACCACCTCAACAGGTTTAGAAAGCTGACAGACTTAATCAATCTGGCAAATCACCAGATCCTAGCTCATGCTGTTAACCAAGCCCAGTAAATAAACATCGCAGTTACTGTTGTTTGCAGGTCCCCTTGAGCATTACTATCCCGCACAGTGTTCTGAATTCCAACTGCCAGTACCTGTATCTCTGGCTTCTGAAGCCCATCTGCCCACGTGCAGGGCAGGCCCAAACTACAGGGGAATGTGTACCTACCTGAGGGCAGTCCTCACAATATACTGATAAGAAGACTCCAGCTTCCTTAAATCCAGCCTCCCTCCAAACCCCCAGTGGAAAAATCACAACTCTGACATACGTATGCTACACTGGCTCTAGAATTCCTCAGCACAATCAAGCTTCATTTGTCCACAGCGGGACCTGGCTTGAAAACATGCCCTTTATTGGCTGTCTTTCCTAGACGGCGCACTTCATTCCCCTACTGGTGTGTCCTGGGATTACCTCGCAAATACACAACTTGGATTCAGATTTCTATCTCAAGATCTGCTTCCAGAAGAACCAAAACCAATCAATTCAGGTTTCAACAGAAAAGGAACAACTTGACAAATCCTTAGATGAACTAATTTATTTCTAAATGAAAAATCTAATAAAGAGAGCCTTTACAGCTTTTCTTGCCTTAAAGTGCAAAATAATGCACAGAAAAAAGCACACTGCTTTTTCTGAAAAGCAGTAACATATCTTCATACTTGCAGGAACAGAACATTAAAAAAGCGATGAACTTTTCTCTCTTCTTCTTTTTTTTTTTTTTTTTTTTTTTTTTTTTGAGACGGAGTCTCGCTCTGTCGCCCAGGCTGGAGTGCAGTGGCACGATCTCGGCTCACTGCAAGCTCCACCTCCCGGCTTCACGCCATTCTCCTGCCTCAGCCTCCGGAGTAGCCAGGACTACAGGAGTCCGCCACCACGGCCAGCTAATTTTTTTGTATTTTTAGTAGAGACGGGGTTTCAGTGTGTTAGCCAGGATGGTCTCGATCTCCTGACCTCGTGATCCGCCCGCCTCGGCCTCCCAAAGTGTCTTTTTTTTTTTTTTTGAGACAGAGTTTTGCTCTTGTTGCCCAGACTGGAGTGCAACAGCGCAATCTCAGCTCACCGCAACCTCCGCCTCCCGGGTTCAAGCGATTCTCCTGCCTCAGCCTCCCAAGGAGCTGGGATTACAGGCATGCGCCACCCCACGGCTTGTATTTTTGTAGACGGAGTTTCTCCATGTTGGTGAGGCTGGTCTCAAACTCCCGACCTCAGGTGATCCGCCAGCCTTGCCTTGGCCTCCCAAAGTGCTGGGATTATGGGCGGGAGCCACGGGGCCCAGTCAAGAAGTGATAAGCTTTTCTAAGGAAAGCGAAAGCTACCAGGCAGGGTAGTTTGAAATCCTTACTACTCCGGTGATACATAAGAAAGGTTAAATTTAGCATAATCAAACCTAGACACAATATTGCAGCACTGAGCCTATGTGTCTAAAGCACTGAAGTGGTAACAAGTCACAAAATACAAGTTAAAAACAAGGTGGTGACTTCGCTTTCAGCTGCAACATGTAATGAGAAAAAGCTGGGAAAATTCAAAATCAATGGCTCTTTTGGGACGATCAGAGAACTGAGCTAACAGGGCAAACTGTGCTGGAAACCTGGAAAGACACAGAGGAGATCCGCTTACCTGGAGCAGAAACTGCCAGAGCCATAAGCTGGTGCTGGATGCTCGGTGTGGACTAGTGAGAGTGAGAAACTCGGGGAAGCAGTCTCAGGAGGTGCGAGACCCACACTTCTGTGGGCTTTACCTCCAGGAACTCCACCAGGCACTAAGGTAAAAGATCCCAGAGAGATCCCTCTGGCAGGGGAGGGGAAGAGTAATAAGCCCAGAGTTTTCTCTGCCACAAAGTCATTTGCTCCAGGGGAAAAAAACTTTGCTAGATCCTTCTCCTAACTAGGGGAATGCAAAGGGCATTCCTCCCACTCCAGCCCCCTCCAGCCTTCCTGTCATACCTACAGGGCAAAAAAATCCGCAAAGGTCAGGGCCTCAAGGAAATAGGGCAGGAATAGATAACAGGGGAGAAGAGCTCTAACGCTAGAGAAATACTTGTGAAGATCACAGCCCACTGTAAGAGTGAACCTATGTGAGACCCAGACCCACTGTCAGACTGAGATTTAACCAGATTCCAGAACTCCCACCCTCCCTCACACTTCACCACCACACCCACAGGGTTCCAAATATACTAAAAGTGGCTTACAACTCAAAGAGGAAAAAAAAGTTATAAAGCTGGAAGCGTCATGCTCCCAGACTTCAAAATATACCTCAAAGCTGTAGTGATGGAAACAACATGGTACTGGCATAAAAACTGATATACAGAGCAATGGAACAGAATAGAGAACCCAGAAATCAATCCACAATATCTACAGCCAACTGATTATTGACAAAGATGCCAAGAATACTCACTGGGGAAAGGACAGTATCTTCAATAGATGATACTGGGAAAACTGGATATTCATATGCAGAGGAATGAAACTAGCCTCCCACCTCTATGTGAAAATCAACTCAAAATGGATTAAAGACCTAAATGTAAGACCTGAAACTATAAAACTACTGAAAGAAAACAGGGGAAATGCCTCAGGACGTTAATCTGGGAAAATATTTTATGAATACAACTTCAAAAGCCCAGGCAACAAAAGCAAAAACAAACACATGGGATTATGTCACACTAAAAAACTTCTATACAGCAAAGGAAACAATCAGCAGAGTGAAAAGACAACCTATAGAATGGGAGAAAATATAAGCAAACTATTCATCCAAAAGGGGATTAATACCCAGAATAAACCAGAAACTAAAACATCTCAGCAGGAAAAAAAAATCAGATTTAAAAATGGGCAAATGATCTGAATAGCCATCTCTCAAAAGAAGACAAATGGCCAAGAAATATATGACAAAATGTTCACTTATCACAAATCATCAAGGAACAGCAAATCAGAAGCACAATGAGGTATCATCTCATCCCAGTTAGAGTGGCTATTACCAAAAAGACAAATAAAACAAAACCAACAAATGCTGGGGAGGATGCAGAGAAAAATGAACTCTTACACTCTGCGGGTGAGAATATCAACTAGTACAGCCACTATGGAAAACAGTATAGAGGCTCCTCAAAATCTACAAATAGCATACCATATGAACCAGCAATCCCACTACTGGGCATTTATCCAAAGGAAAGGAAATTGGTATATCGAAGAGACATCTACATCCCCATGTTAACTGCAGCATTATTCACAATAGCCAAGATACGG
This sequence comes from Homo sapiens, assembly GCF_000001405.40. Classification (NCBI taxonomy): domain Eukaryota; kingdom Metazoa; phylum Chordata; class Mammalia; order Primates; family Hominidae; genus Homo; species Homo sapiens. Next base: position 152,073,564 of record NC_000007.14, on the reverse strand, counting down.
AATGAATCTGGGTGTCCAACAGATAAACAGATAAAGAAAATGTGGAATATAAACACAATGAAATACTATTCAGCCATAATTTGAGTGGAATCCTGTCACTCACAGCAACATGGATGGAACTGGAGGATATTAAGTGAAATAAGCCAGGAACAGAAAGTTAAACACCACATGTTCTCATTCATATGTGGAAGCTGAAAAACAGTTGATCTCACAGAAAAATCAGAACAGAGGATACTAGAGGCTGGGAAGGGTGGGCGAAGGGAGGAGATAGGAAGAGATTTGTTAAAGGTTACAAAATTATAGCTAGATAGGAGGAATAAGTTCTACTGGTCTATAGCACTCTAGGATGACTATAGTTAACAATAACATATTGTAGAGTTTCAAATAGCTATAAGGAGAATATTGAATGTTCCCAACACAAAGAAATGATAAATGTATGAGATGATGGATATGCTAATTACTCTGATCTGATCACTGATACGTTACGTATATAGAAACATCACTATGTACCCCATAAATATACACAATTATATGCCAATTGAAAAATAAAATAAAATGTATATTGTAAACTCTAGAGTAAACACTATGTTGGAAATAAATGCTTATTCCCCGATGTCGCAGAGAAGAATCAGCAATCAGACAAAAAGTTTCCTTAGCAAGGCGATGTTTACTCTCTGCAGAAAGGGTGGTGCCCGTCAGCAATCCTGCCACAAGCACACACAAAGTAAAAAAGACACTAGAATATTTATCCTTTACGCATGAGGTCCCTATTGCTGTGTTCTGACTCCATTGGCTGGAGCCAGACCTCACAATCTAAACTAAAACCCGATTGGCTAACAGTTCAAAACTTTTCTAAACAGGTAAAGGCAGTGAGGAACAAAGGAAAAAAGGAAGTTACTTACGAAAGGATTTACAAAGTAATAATATTCCCAAATAAGGGAGGAGGCTGCAAGCTGGGACATGCCTGGGCACATTCAGCACGAATAATTTGACTAAGGAACAAGGACACAAAATGTATTATGTGCCTGTGAGCATGTTTAACACAGATACTGAAGTCAGAGTATGCTTATTCTGTCACATTTGCTACATAAGGCTTAACAGAGAGTTATTACTATAAAATAAGAAACTTGAAGAAAGTTAGTTCTGAGAAAAGATATCAATAACATTTATGATTTAAAGGGGAAGCTTTGAAGAGGAACTTTTGCTTTCTACACATTAGAATTTCTTTTTTCTTTTTTTTTTTTTTTTTTGAGACGGAGTCTCACTCTGTCACCTAGGCTGGAAGTGGCACAATCTTGGCTCACTGCAACCTCCACCTCCCAGGTTGAAGCAATTCTTCTGCCTCAGCCTCCTGAGTAGCTGGGACAACAGACGTGCGCCAACATGCCCAGCTAATTTTGTGTTTTTAGTAGAGATGGGGTTTCATCATGTTGGCCAGGCTGGTCTCAAACTCCTGACCTCAAGTGATCCACCTGCCTTGGCCTCCCAAAATCCTGGGATTACAGGGGTGAGCCACAGCACCCAGCTTAAAAACTTTTTTTTTTTTTTTTTTTTTGAGACAGAGTTTTGCTCTTGCTGCCCAGGCTGGAATGCAGTGGCATGATCTTGGCTCACTGCAACCTCCGCCTCCCAAGTTTAAGTGATTCTCCTGCCTCAGCCTCCTAAAAACTTTTTAAAAGAAGTATAATTGACATGCTACATCGTAACTGACAGAATAATGGTCTGTTGCAGGAAGTCAGGGACCCCAAACAGAGGGACTAGCTGAAGCCATGGCAGAAGAACGTGGATTGTGAAGATTTCATGGACATTTATTAGTTCCCCAAATTAATACTTTTATAATTTCTTATGCCTGTCTTTACTGCAATCTCTAAACATAAATTGTGAAGATTTCGTGGACACTTATCACTTCCCCAATCAATACCCTTGTGATTTCCTATGCCTGTCTTTACTTTAATCTCTTAATCCTGTCAGCTGAGGAAGATGTATGTTGCCCCAGGACCTATGATAATTGCATTAACTGCACAAATTGTACAGCATGTGTGTTTGAGCAATATGAAATCTGGGCACCTTGAAAAAAGAACAGGATAACAGCAATTGTTCAGGGAATAAGAGAGATAACCTTAAACTCTGACCGCCGGTGAGCCGGGTGGAACAGAACCATATTTCTCTTCTTTCAAAAGCAAATGGGAGAAATATCGCTGAATTCTTTTTCTCAGCAAGGAACATCCCTGGGAAAGAGAATACGTGCCTGGAGGTATACGCTTATAAACAGCACCCCCAGGTGTGCCCGTCTCTTATGGTTGAGAATACAGGGCTGAAATAGACCCCAGTCTCCCATAGCGCTCCCAGGCTTATTAGGAAGAGGAAATTCCTGCCTAATAAATTTTGGTCAGACTGGTTGATCTTAAAACCCTGTCTCCTGGTAAGATGTTATCAATGACAATGGTGCCCGAAACTTCATTAGCAATTTTAATTTCACCCCAGTCCTGTAGTCCTGTGATCTCTCCCTGCCTCCACTTGCCTTGTGATATTCTATTACCTTGTAAAGTACTTGATGTCTGTGACCTACACCTATTTGCACACTCCCTTCCCCTTTTGAAAATCCCTAATAAAAACTTGCTGGTTTTTGTGGCTTGTTGGGCATCACGGAACCTACCGGCATGTGATGTGTCCCCCGGACGCCCAGCTTTAAAATTTCTCTCTTTTGTACTCTGTCCCTTTATTTCTCAAGCTGGCCTACGCTTAAGGAAAATAGAAAAGAACCTACGTGAATATTGGGGCAGATTCCCCGATAATGGTCCCCTCAGAAATGTACACATCCTAATCCCCAGAATTAAGGTAGCAGATGAGATTAAAGTTGCTACTCAGATGACGTTAAAATACAGAGATTATTCTGGATTATGTGGGTAGACCCAATATAATTACAAGGGTCCTTAAATGTGAAAGAGGGAGGCAAAAGAGGAGATCAGAGTTGATACAATGTGAGAAGAACTTGACCTACTGCTAGCTTTGAAGATGGAAGAAAAGGGCCACAAGCCAAGGACTGCAGGTGGCTTCTCAATAGGGCAAGGAAACAGATGCTCTCCCAGAACCTCAAAAAAGTGAAACAGCCCTGCCAACACCTTGAGTTTAGTCCCCTGAGATGCTTTTCAGACTTCTGACTTCCAGAACTGTGTGATAAGTTGTGCTGTAAGAATAGGAAGCTCATACAAGATAAGAGAGGAGATAAAGTTGAATCACATAAAATGTCCAATTAAAAAGAAATAAAAGGCCAGGCGCGGTGGCTCACACCTGTAATCCCAGCACTTTGGGAGGACAAAGCAAGCGGATCATGAGGTCAGGAGATCGAGACCATCCTGGCTAACACAGTAAAACCCTGTCTCCACTAAAAATACAAAAAATTAGCTGGGCGTGGTGGCGGGCACCTATAGTCCCAGCTACTTGGGAGGCTGAGGCAGGAAAATGGTGTGAACCCGGGAGGCGGAGCTTGCAGTGAGCCAAGATCACACCACTGCTCTCCAGCCTGGGCAACAGAGGGAGACTCTGTCTCAAAAAAAAAAAGAAAAAGAAAAAGAAAAAAGAAAAAAGAAAGAAAAAAGCAATGAGTGCAAAACAGTTACAAAGATGGAAGATGCTAATCCAACAATATTAATAATCACTTCTAACGTGAATTGTCTAAATACACCAATCAAAAGAGAGTGTCACAGTGGACAAAATTTTTTAAAAAGACCTAACTATATCATGTCTGTAAGAAACCAACTTGAACTATAAAGCTTTAGATATGCTAACAGTAAAGGGATGGAGAAAGATATATCATGCTGACATTACAAATCAAAAGAAAGCTGGAGTAATTGTAACTGCAGACAAAACAGATTTTGTCTGATAATCAGGGACAAAAAGGATCTTATATAATGATAAAGAGGTCGGTTCTCCAAGAAGACGTAACAGTCTTGAATGTGTATGCTTCAAATAAGAAGGCATCATAATACATGAGGCAAAACTAAGAAAAATATACAGAGACAAATCCACTACTACAGTTGGAGACTTCAACACTGTCAGTTACTGACAGATCAAGCAGCCAGAAAATCAGTAAAGAAACTGATAACTAGAACAGCACAGCACTATCAATCAACCTGATCTAAATGACGTTTATAGAAAATTCCATCCAATCATGGTAGATATACATTCTTCTCTAGCTCACATTCACCAATATAGACCACATTCTGGACCATAAAACACATCTTAACAGATTCAAGACTAGAAAGCATACAAAACATGGTCTCAAATAACATAATTAAACTAGAAATCAGTAACGGAGATATCTGGAAAATCCCCCAATATCTAGAAATTAACACATTTCTAAATAACCCATGGGTCTAAGAAGTCTCAAAAATTAAACAATATATTGAACTAAAGTAAAAATGAAAATATAACTCATCAACATTTGTGGGATACAAAGCACACAGTGTTTAGAGAAAAACGTGCAGCATTAAATGAAAATATTAGGAAGAAAGATCTAAGCTTGCACTTCTGAAAACCAGAGAAAGAAGAACAATTTGATTCTTTTGTAGTTCATAAGTGTGGTGACTGGGTTTTCATGTGCTTGTGGGAAATATGCCTCCCTCAAATCTTATTACGAAGTCAGCCCATTTTACTTGTCTGACATGAACTTACTAGAAAATTAAAAATTAAAAAATTAAAAATAAAAAGGAAAACAATTTAAGCCTAAGGCAATCAAAAGAAAAAAATACAATAAAAATTAAAATAGAAATCAATGAAATTGGAAAAAGGAAAACAGTAAGAGAAAAATTAACAAAACCAAAAGCTGGTTCTTTAAAAAGATCAAAAAAAGTGATAAACCTCTAGCCAGGTAAAACTGATTAGATTGTACCCTCTCTTCCCTTAGAAAAAAGAGAAAAGACAAATTACCAATATCAGCAATGAAGAACCAGTCATCATACTGTTCCCATGAACAGTAAAAGGATAATAAAGAAATATTACAAATAACTCTATGCCCACAAATGCAAGAAAAAATGTACCAATTTCTTTAAACTATCAAAACTCACCAACACAAAAACCTGCATATGAAACCTTACAGCAGCTTTATTTATAACCGTCAAAACTTGGAAGCAAACAACTAAGAGGTCCCTCAAAAGATGAATGAACAGTGGTACATCCATACAATGGAGTTTTATTCAGCAAAAAGAAGAACTATCAAACTACACAAAGATGTGAAAAAAACTGAAATGCATATTGCTAAATGAAGGACGCCAACTTGAAAAGGCTACATATTGAATGCTTTCCATTGTATGACATTCTGGAAAAGGTAAAACTATAGAGATGATAAAGAGATCAGTAGTAGTCAGGGGCTCATAGGGTGGGGAGGCAGAGGGTTCAATATGAAGCACAGGGGAATTTTTAGGGCAGGGCAACTTCTGTGTAATATGACAGAGGCAGATACATGATCCAGTGCTGGAGGTGGGGCCTGGTGGGAGATGCTTGGATCATGGGGGTGAATCGATCCCTCATGGCTTGCTGCTGACTTGCTGACAGGGAGTTCTTGCAAGATCTGGTCATTTAAAAGTATGTGGCACCTCCCCTACCACTCTCTCTTGCTTGCTCCTGCTTTCACCATGTGACGTGTCTGCTCCCCCTTCACCTTCTGCCATGATTGGATGCTTCCCGAGGCCTTCCTAGAAGCCAAGCAGATGCCAGCACCATGCTTCCCGTAAAGCCTGCAGAACCCTGAGCCAATTAAACCTCTTTTCTTTATGAATTACCCAGTCTCTGGTATTTCTTTATAGTAATGCAAGAATGGCTTAACACACACCCAGTTCTTGGTTTTTAATATCATTCTCCAATAAAAAAGGACCAGAAGTCCTTAGAAAAATGGCAGATTCTAAGACTGGGACAGGAAATGTGCAAGATGGCTCTTGCAGTGCCAGAAAATAAGGAAGTGCTCAATAAAACAAACAAAAACTACAATGTCGGGGGCACATCAAAGGGACAGATGGAACCAAATGAAGAGCTCGTAATAGCCGTAGCTGTGACAATCATCTGAACAAAAAAATAAAGTTGTATTGCATTATAGCCCAAAGTATAAAATAAACGTCCCTAAATCCAAACTGAGAGAAATAAATGACTAAATAGTAAACAGGACAGACTATAACAGATCTCCACACAGAATTCCAAATAATTTAGACACTTCGCCCTCAAGGGTGGGCTGTGCACATGGACTTTCTTCCAAAGGACTACAGTACAAGAAGGGAGGGTGGGGAGAAACTTTACAGTGGAGAAACCTGACAACCACTGCCTCAGCCAGGTAATTGAGATTACTCTAAATAGTGATATGCACAGATAGTATGTATCCTTAATATGGTATGATGACAATGGCATTTGACCTCTGTAGTCTTCCTCCCCAAAACATGAAACAAATCCCAACTGAGGGACATCTACAAGATACCTGACCAGTGGAGGTATACCTCATTTAAACATTTCACTTTATTGTGCTTCGTTGACGTTGTGGTTTTTGTTTGTTTGTTTTACAAATTGAAGGGTTGTGGCAACCCTGCATTGACCAAGTATATGAACACCATTTTCCCATCAGTATTTGTTTACTTCGTGTTTCGGTGTTACGTTTTGCGAATACTCAGGATATTTCAACTTTTTTATTACTATGATATTTGTTATGTGATCTGTGTCGATGATCTTTGATGTTACTCCTGTAATTGTTTTGGGACACAAGGAACCACGTGCAGATGTGAAACAGGGAACTTACTCAATAAATGTGTGTGTTCTCACTGCTCAACCAAACCAGCCATTCCTTTGTCTTTCCCCAACTCCTTGGGCCTCCCTGTTCCCTAAGACAAAACCGTTTTGAAATCCAGACAATTAATAACCCTACAATGGCTTATAAGTGTTCAAGGGAAAGGAAGAGTCACACATCTCTCACTTTAAATAAAAAACTACAAGTGATTGGGGGTGGTTCCAAGATGGCCAAATAGGAACAGCTCCAGTCTACAGCTCCCAGCGTGAGTGACGCAGAAGACGGGTGATTTCTGCATTTCCAACTGAGGTAACCGGGTTCATTTCACTGGGGCTTGTTGGACAGTGGGTGCAGGACAGTGGGTGCAGCCTACTGAGTGTGAGCCAAAGCAGGGCGAGGCATCGCCTCATCTGGGAACTGCAAGGGGTCAGGGAATTCCCTTTCCTAGCCAAGGGAAGCTGTAACAGACGGTACCTTGAAAATAGGGTCACTCCCACCCTAATACTGTGCTCTTCCAATGGTCTTAGCAAATGGCACACCAGGAGATTACATCCCATGCCTGGCTCGGAGGGTCCCACGCCCACGGAGCCTTGCTCATTGCTAACACAGCAGTCTGAGATCGAACTGCAAGGCAGCAGCGAGGCTGGGGGAGGGGTGCCCGCCATTGCTGAGGCTTGAGTAGGTAAACAAAGCAGCCAGGAAGCTCAAACTGGGTGGAGCCCACCGCAGCTCAAGGCCTGCCTGCCTCTGTAGACTCCACCTCTGGGGGCAGGGCGTAGCCAAACAAAAGGCAGCAGAAACCTCTGCAGACTTAAATGTCCCTGTCTGACAACTTTGAATAGAGTAGTGGTTCTCCCAGCACAGAGTTTAAGATCTGAGAATGGACAGACTGCCTCCTCAAGTGAGTCCCTGACCCCCAAGTAGCCTAACTGGGAGGCACCTCCCAGTAGGGGCACACTGACACCCCACATAGCTGGGTACCCCTCTGAGATGACGCTTTCAGAGGAAAAATCAGGCAGCAACATTTACTGTTCATCAATATTTGCTGTTCTGCAGCCTCTGCTGCTGATACCCAGGCAAACAGGGTCTGGAGTGGACTTCCAGCAAACTCCAACAGACCTGCAGCTGAGGGTCCTGACTGTTAGAAGGAAAACTAACAAACAGAAAGGACATTCACACCGAAATCCCATCTGTACGTCACCATCATCAAAGACCATAGGTAGATAAAACCACAAAGATAGGAAAAACACAGCAGAAAAGCTGAAAATTCTAAAAATCAGAGTGCCTCTCCCCTTCCAAAGGAATGCAGTTCCTCACCAGCAATAGAACAAAGCTGGATGGAGAATGACTTTGACGAGTTGAGAGAAGGGTTCAGACGATCAAACTACTCCGAGCTAAAGGAGGAAGTTCGAATGCATCGCAAAGAAGCTAAAAACCTTGAAAAAAGATTAGACAAATGGCTAACTAGAATGTAGAGAAGTTCTTATATGACCTGATGGAGCTGAAAACCATGGCACGAGAACTACGTGATGAATGCACAAGCTTCAATAGCTGATTAGATCAACTGGAAGAAAGGGTATCAGTAATTGAAGATCAAATGAATGAAATGAAGCAAGAAGAGAAGTTTAGAGAAAAAAGAGTAAAAAGAAATGAACGAAGCCTCCAAGAAATATGAGACTATGTGAAAAGACCAAATCTACGTCTGATTGGTGTGCCTGAAAGTGACGGGGAGAATGGAACCAAGTTGGAAAACACTCTGCAGGATATTATCCAGGAGAATTTCCCCAACCTAGCAAGGCAGGCCAACATTCAAATTCAGGAAATACAGAGAACGCCACAAAGATACTCCTTGAGAAGAGCAACTCCAAGGCACATAATTGGCGGATTCACCAAATTTGAAATGAAGGAAAAAATGTTAAGGGCAGCCAGAGACAAAGGTCGAGTTACCCACAAAGGGAAGCCCATCAGACTAACAGCGGATCTCTCAGCAGAAACTCTACAAGCCAGAAGAGAGTGGGGACCATATTCAACGTTCTTAAAGAAAAGAAATTTCAACCCAGAATTTCATATCCAGCCAAACTAAGCTTCATAAGTGAAGGAGAAATAAAATCCTTTACAGACAAGCAAATGCTGAGAGATTTTGTCACCATCAGGCCTGCCCTAAAAGAGCTCCTGAAGGAAGCACTAAAGATGGAGAGGAACAACCGGTACCAGACACTGCAAAAACATGCCAAATTGTAAAGACCATCAATGCTAGGAAGAAACTGCATCAACAAACAAGCAAAATAACCAGCTAACATCATAATGACAGGATCAAATACACATAACAATATTAACCTTAAATGTAAATGGGCTAAATGCTCCAATTAAACAACACAGATTGGCAAATTGGATAAAGAGTCAAGACCCATCAGTGTGCTATATTCAGGAGACCCATCTCATGTGCAGAGACACACATAGGCTCAAAATAAAGGGATGGAGGAAGATCTACCAAGCAAATGGAAAACAAAAAAAGGCAGGGGTTGCAATCCTAGTCTCTGATAAAACAGACTTTAAACCAATGAAGATCAAAAGAGACAAGGCCATCACATAACGGTAAAGGGATCAATTCAACAAGAAGAGCTAACTACCCTAAATATATATGCACCCAATACAGGAGCACCCAGATTCATAAAGCAAGTCCTTAGAGACCTACAAAGAGACTTAGACTCCCACACAATAATAATGGCAGACTTTAACACCCCACTGTCAACATTAGACAGATCGATGAGACACAAAGTTCACAAGGATATCTAGGAATTGAACTCAGCTCTGCACTAAGCGGACTTAATAGACATCTACAGAACTCTCTACCCAAAATCAACAGAATATACATTCTTCTCAGCACATCACACTTATTCCAAAATTGACCACATAGTTGGAAGTAAAGTACTCCTCAGCAAATGTAAAAGAACAGAAATTATAAGAAACTGTCTCTCAGACCACAGTGCAATCAAACTAGAACTCAGGATTAAGAAACTCACTCAAAACCGCTCAACTACATGGAAACTGAACAACCTGCTCCTGAATGACTACTGGGTACATAATGAAATGAAGGCAGAAATAAAGATGTTCTTTGAAACCAATGAGAACAAAGACACAACATACCAGAATCTCTGGGACACATTTAAAGCAGTGGGTAGAGGGAAATTTATAGCACTAAATGCCCACAAAAGAAAGCAGGAAAGATCTAAAATTGACACCCTAACATACAATTAAAAGAACTAGAGAAGCAAGAGCAAACACATTCAAAAGCTAGCAGAAGGCAAGAAATAACCAAGATCAGAGCAGAACTGAAGGAGATAGAGACACAAAAAACCCTTCAAAAAAATCAATGAATCCAGGAGCTGGTTTTTTGAAAAGATCAGCAAAATTGATAGACCGCTAGCAAGACTAATGAAGAAAAAAGAGAAGAATCAAATAGACGCAATAAAAAATGATAAAGGGGATATCACCACCGATCCCACAGAAATACAAACTACCATCAGAGAATACTATAAACACCTCTACACAAATAAACTGAAAATCTAGAAGAAATGGATAAATTCCTGGACACATACACCCTCCCAAGACTAAACCAGGAAGAAGTTGAATCCCTGAATAGGAAAATAACAGGCTCTGAAATTGAGGCAATACTTAATAGCCTACCAACAAAAAAAAGTCCAGGACCAGATGGATTCACAGTTGAATTCTACCAGAAGTACAAGGAGGAGCTGGTACCATTCCTTCTGAAACTATTCCTATCAATAGAAAAAGAGGGAATCCTCCCTAACTCATTTTATGAAGCCAGCATCATCCTGATACCAAAGCTTGGCAGAGACACAACAAAAAAAGAGAATTTTAGACCAATATCCCTGATGAACACCGATGCAAAAATCCTCAATAAAATACTTGCATACCAAATCCAGCAGCACATCAAAAAGCTTATCCACCATGATCAAGTGGGCTTCATCCCTGGGATGCAAGGCTGGTTCAACATATGAAAATCAATAAACGTAATCTACCATATAAACGGAACAAAGACAAAAACCACACGATTATCTCAATAGATGCAGAAAAGGCCTTTGACAAAATTCAACAGCCCTCCATGCTAAAAACTCTCAATAAATTAGGTATTGATGGGATGTATCTCAAAATAGTAAGAGCTATTTATGACAAACCCACAGCCAATATCATACTGAATGGGCAAAAACTGGAAGCATTCCCTTTGAAAACTGGCACAAGACAGGGATGCCCTCTCTCACCACTCCTATTCAACATACTGTTGGAAGTCCTCGCCAGGGCAATCAGGCAGGAGAAAGAAATAAAGGGTATTCAATTAGGAAAAGTGGAAGTCAAATTGTCCCTGTTTGCAGATGACATGATTGTATATTTAGAAAACCTCATCGTCTCAGCCCAAAATCTCCTTAAGCTGATAAGCAACTTCAGCAAAGTCTTAGGATACAAAATCAATGTGCAAAAATCACAAGGATCCTTATACACCAGTAACAGACAGCCAAATCATGCGTGAACTCCCATTCACAATTGCTTCAAAGAGAATAAATACCTAGGGATCCAACTTACAAGGGATGTGAAGGATCTCTTCAAGGAGAACTACAAACCACTGCTCAATGAAATAAAAGAGGACACAAACAAATGGAAGAACATTCCATGCTCATGGATAGGAAGAATCAATATCGTGAAAATGGCCATACTGCCCAAGATAATTATAGATTCAATGCCATCCCTATCAAGCTACCAATGACTTTCTTCACAGAATTGGAAAAAACTACTTTAAAGTTCATGTGGGACCAAAAAAGAGCCCACATTGCCAAGACAATCCTAAGCCAAAAGAACAAAGCTGGAGGCATCATGCTATCTGACTTCAAACTATACTACAAGCCTACAGTAACCAAAACAGCATGGTACTGGTACCAAAACAGAGATATAGACCAATGGAACAGAACAAAGCCCTCAGAAATAATACCACACATCTATAACCATCTGATCTTTGACAAACCTGACAAAAACAATAAATGGGGAAAGGATTCCCTATTTAATAAATGGTGCTGGGAAAACTGGCTAGCCATAAGTAGAAAGCTGAAACTGGATCCCTTCCTTACACCTTATACAAAAATTAATTCAAGATGGATTGGAGACTTAAATGTTAGACCTAAAACCATAAAAACCCTAGAAGAAAACCTAGGCAATACCATTCAGGACATAGGCATGGCCAAGGACTTCATGTCTAAAACACCAAAAGCAATGGCAACAAAAGCCAAAATTGACAAATGGGATCTAATTAAACTAAAGAGCTTCTGCACAGCAAAAGAAACTACCATCAGAGTGAACAGGCAACCTACAGAATGGGAGAAAAATTTTACAATCTACTCATCTGACAAAGGGCTAATATCTAGAATCTACAAATAACTCAAACAAACTTACAAGAAAAAAACAAACAACCCCATCAAAAAGTGGGCGAAAGATATGAACAGACACTTCTCAAAAGAAGACATTTATGCAGACAATAGACACATGAAAAAATGCTCATCATCACTGGCCATCAGAGAAATGCAAATCAAAACCACAATGAGATACCATCTCACACCAATTAGAATGGCGATCATTAAAAAGTCAGGAAACAACAGGTGCTGGAGAGGATGTGGAGAAATAGGAACACTTTTACACTGTTGGTGGGACTGTAAACTAGTTCAACCATTGTGGAAGACAGTGTGGTGATTCCTCAAGGATCTAGAACTAGAAATACCATTTGACCCAGCCATCCCATTACTGGGTATATACCCAAAGGATTATAAATCATGCTGCTATAAAGACACATGCACACGTATGTTTATTGTGTCACTATTCACAATAGCAAAGACTTGGAACCAACCCAAATGTCCATCAATGATAGACTGGATTAAGAAAATGTGGCGCATATACACCATGGAATACTATACAGCCATAGAAAAGGGTGAGTTCATGTCCTTTGTAGGGACATGGATGAAGCTGGAAACCATCATTCTCAGCAAACTACTGCAAGGACAAAAAACCAAACACCGCATGTTCTCACTCATAGGTGGGAATTGAACAATGAGAACACTTGGAAACAGGAAGGGGAACATCACACACCAGGGTCTGTCGTGGGGTGGAGGGGGGGGAGGGATAGCATTAGGAGATATACCTAATGTAAATGACGAGTTAATGAGTGCAGCACACCAACATGGCCCATGTATACATATGTAACAAACCTGCACGTTGTGCACATGTACCCTAGAAATTAAAGTATATATATATAAAAAAAAAAACTACCAGTAATTTAGCTTAGTGAGGAAGGCATGTGGAAAGCCAAGATGGGCTGAAAGCTAGGCCTCTTGCACCAAACAGCCAAGTTGTGAACGCAAAGGAAAATTCTTGAAGGGAATTAAAAGTGCTATGCCAGTGAACACAGGAATAAGAAAGTGACACAGCATCAATGCGGATATGGAGAAAGCTTTAGTGCTCCAGATAGAAGATCAAACCAGCCAAAATATTCCTTTAAACCAGTCTTAGGGCAAGTCCCTAATTCTCTTCAATTCTATGCAGACTGAGAAAAGTAAGGAAGCTGCAGAAGAAATGTTTGAAACTGGCAAAGAATTGCTCATGAGGTTTAAAAAGATATCATCTCCACAACATAAAAGTGTAAGGTGAGGCAGCAAGTGCTGATGGAGAAGCTGCAGCAAGTTATCCAAAAGATCTAGCTAAGATCACTGATGAGGATGGCTACACTAAACAATATATTTTCAATGCAGACTAAACAGCCATCTATTGGAAGGAGATGCCATTTAGAACCTTTCATAGCTAGAGATATCAATGTCCGGCTTCCAAATAGGGTGACTCTCTTGTTAGGGGCTGATGCAGCTGGTGACTTTAAGTTGAAGCCAATGCTCACTTACCATTCTGAAAATCTCAGGGCCTTTAAGAATTATGCAAAATCTACTCTGCCTGTGCTCTAGAAATGGAACAACAAAGCCTGGATGACAGAACATCTGTTTTACAGCATGATTTACTGAATATATTAAGCCCACTGTTGAGACCTACTAATCAGAAAGATTGCTTTCAAAATATCACTGCTCACTGACAACATACCTAGTCACCCCAAAACTCTCATGGATATATACAAGGAGATAAATGTTGTTTTCATGCCTGCTAACACACTGTCCATTCTGCAGCCCATGGATCAAGGAGTAATTTCTACTTTCAAGTCTAATTATTTAAGAAATAAATTGCGTAAGACTATAGCTGTCACAGACAGTGATTCCTTTGGTGGATCTGTGCAAAATAAATTGAAAACTTTCTGGAAAAGCTTTATCATTCTAGATGCCATTAAGAACATTTATAGCCAGGTATGGTGTCTCATGCCTGTAATCCCAACTCTTTTGGAGGTGGAGGTGGGAGGGTTACTTGAGGCCTAGAGTTCAAGACCAGCTTGGACAACAGAGTGAGACCCAATCGCTACAAAAAAAAAATACAAAAAAAAAAGTTGGGCATGGTGGCACATGCCTGTAGTCCCAACAACTCGGGAGGCTGAGGCGGGAGGACTGCTTGAACCCAGAAGTTTGAAGCTGCAGTGAGCTATGACTGCAGCACTGCACTCCAGCCTGGGTGACAAAGCAAAACTGTATCTCACAAAACAACAACAACAAAAACCCATTCATTCGAGGAGGTCAAAATATCATTTATTTTTTTATTCCACATTTGCCAGAACTACAAAATGTCAATATTAACGGGAGTTTAGAAGAAGTTGGTTCCAACCTTGACCGACAGGTTCAAGACTTCAGTGGAGTACGTCACTGCAGATAGGGTGGAAATAGCAAGAGAACCAGAATTAGAAATAGAGACGGAAGATATGGATGTGCAAATAAATGGTTTCTTGAAATGGAATCGCTCCTGGTGATGATGCTGTGAACACTGTTGAAACGATAACAAAAAGCAGATTACTAAATTTAGTTGATAAAGTAGCAGCAGGGTTTTAGAGGATTGACTCTAATTTTGAAAGAAGTTCTACTGTGGGTAAATTGCTATCAAACAGCTACAGAAAAATCTTTCATGAATGGAAAGTCAATCGATGAGTCAGACTTTACTTCCGTCTTATTTTAAGAACTTGGCCAGGCACAGTGGCTCACGCCTGTAATCCCAGCAGTTTGGGAGGCCGAGACAGGCGGATCATTTGAGGTCAGGAATTTGAGACCAGCCTGGCCAACATGGTGAAACCCCATCTCTACTAAAAATACAAAAAAATTAGCCGGGTATGGTGACGCATGCCTGTAGTCCCAGCTACTCGGGAGGCTGAGGCAGGAGTATCGCTTGAACCGGGAGGCAGAGGTTGCGGTGAGCCGAGATGGCACCAACCTGGGCAACAGAGCAAGACTCCATCTCAAAAAAACAAAACAAAACAAAACAAAACAAAAAGAACTTGCCACAGCCATCCTAACCTTCAGGAAGCATCAGCAGGCATCAATGTTAAGGCAAGACTCTCACCAGCAAAAAGATTACCACTCACTGAAGGCTCAGATGATCATTAGCATTTTTGAACAATAAAGCATTTTTAAAATTAAGGCATGCACATTGGGCTTTTTTTTTAAGCTATAATGCTATTGCACACTTAAAAGACTACGGTATAGTGTAAACATAACTTTTATATGCACCCCCCCAAAAAATGTGTGTGATTCACTTTGTGATAGTCCCTTTATTGCAGTGGCTCAGAACCGAACCCACAGTATCACCAGCATATGCCTGTATTTCTCAAAACTGTCAGGGTCATCAAAAACGAGGAAAGTGTGAGAAACTGTCACAGCCAAGAAGAGCCTAAGGAGACACAATGACCAAATACAGTGTGGTATCCTGCATGAGAGCCTTAGCTTTTACCTATTGTCCTTAGAACAGCAAAAGCACATTAGGTAAAAACTAAGAAAATCTGAATACAGTATGGACATTAGCATTAACTGAAATACACGTACCATATTAATGTAAGATGTTAATAACAGGGGAAATTGGATATGGGATATGTGGGAATTCTCTACTATCTTCACAATATTCTGTAAATCTAAGGCTACGCTAAAACTAAAAGTTTATTTTAAAAAGAACGGGGGTCAGGACATAGATTATTTTGCATCACCAAAATCATCTAATTCTGGCCGGGCACGGTGGTTCACACCTACAATCCCAGCACTTTGGGAGGCTGAGGCGGGTGGGTCATTTGAGGTCAGGAATTTGAGACCAGCCTGGCCAACATGGTGAAACCCTATCTCTACTAAAAATACAAAATTTAGCCGGGCATGGTAGCAGGCGCCTGTAATCCCAGCTACTTAGGAGGCTGAGACAAGAGAATAGCTCAAACCTGGGAGGCAGAGGTTGCAGTAAACCGAGATGGCACCACTGCACTCCAGCCTGGGCAACAGAGTGAAACTCCATCTCAAAAAAAAAAAAAAGGAAAAATCATCTAATATCTGAGATTTGCTTCAATTAACCAAGAAGGGCAGGGCTATAGGTTAAAAAAAAAATTACTAATAGATTTTTTAAAATCTATTACTTTCTTCATGTCTGAAAATTTCCATGATATGCTTTTTAAAAAAGAAAGTATCTGGGCTAGGTGCAGTGGCTCATGCCTGTAATCCCAGTACTTTGAGAGGCCCAGCAGGCACACAGCTTGAGCCCAGGAATTCAAGACTGGCCTGGGCAACATCGCAAAACCCTGTCGCTACAAAGAACACCAAAAAAAAAAAAAAAAAAAAAAATAGCTGGGCATGCTGGCACACACCTGTGGTCCCAGCTACTTGGGAGGCTGAGGTGGAAGGATCACTTGAGCCTGGGGAGGTCAAGGCTGCAGTGAGCCAAGTGATCATGTACTGCACTCCAGCCTGAGTAGGTGAAGCAAGAACCTGTCTCAAAAAAAAAAAAAGTATCTGACCCAACAAACTACCGTTCCTTTAACCCTGACACCTGACACCCAGGTGCAGGGTTCTGTATGCATATTGGTTTCTAGAGGTTATAATGTGTCCACATGATTTAGTTGAGTCTTGTCCATGGAGTCAAAGGACACAGCCTCCAGAGTCCATTCTCATGGGTTTGGTGTGTGTCTCTGTATATGTTAACTATTTTCTTTTTACTTCTGCTTCTTCATTATTTAATACAAATTTCATTGTAATGTTACAATGTAGTCTCTAGGTAAGGGAATGCTCACATGGACATGTGTGTAGAAGGGTGTGTAGACATGCAGAGTAGTCTGAGGATGGATTTTGCCAGTGGTTAAGTTGTAGTCTCTTCACTCCAAGTCCACTTTCTATACTCTACTCCAGTGGTTCTCACCCAAGGGATAGGATACTTGGTAATTTCTGGGAAAACGTGGCAACCCGCGGGAACTTTAGGCAGTGTCTGAAGACATTTTTGGTTGCCATACCTGGCGAGATCCTATTAACATCCATTGGGTAAATGCCCCAGATGCTGCACATCCTAAAATGCACAGAACAGTCCTCAAAAACAAAGAATTATCTGGTCCAAATGTCCATAGTGCCAAGTCTCAGAAACCCTGTTCTGTGATGCTGGGGCTGGATTCTAAACGGCATTTTCCAAACTACCGATAAATGTGACAACTTGGATGAATCAAGGGAATTATGCTGACTGAAAAAATCTAATCCTAAAAGCTTACTTACTGTATGATTCCATTTATATAACATCCTTCACATGACAAAATTATAGAAACAGAGAACAAATTAGTGATTGCCACGAACTGAGGACAACAGGGATTTGGGGGGTTGTGGAAGGGGGAAGATGGGTGTAGGACGTCAATATTCTGGTTTTAATATTACAGTATACTTTTGCAAGATATTACCATTGGGGGAAATTAGGTAAAGGGTACACAAGATCTCTTGATATTATTTCTTATAATTACATGTGAATCTACAATTATCACAAAACAAAATGTTTTATTTTAAAAAGAAGAATTTTTAGTTCCCATGATGCAAGATTTTAGAAGTCCAATCTTGTCGGTAAGGAAATGCTAATGACTTTAATATTTTTGTAAGATTCAATATTGAGTTTATATACTTTATAGAATAAGATAGTAATAAGCACCAATTCTAGTTTTTGAGAAATATTTAATTTAAAAAGTATCCTCTTAACAAAAAGTACCAAATACCTGGTACTTTGTGTGTATATATATATATGTATATATACACACACACACACACACACACACACACACACACACACACACACACACGCTTTATATATACCAAATACCTCGTAACTTATTATGAAATGAGAAGTCAGAATTTTCTGGAAACACTTTGGAGACAGAATAAATTACCTAGCAATTTATAAATATAACATCAGATAATAAAAGTGAATTGCTAGCCATTTATAAAATGCATTTCATACAAAATTATGAATTCCATAAATGAGTTTAAGAAAATATCTGCTGGTTTGCTTCCTCCCACTCCATCCCACAGGAGATTATTTGGCATCTTTTATGGGATGAATTGTGTTTTCCTAAAAATTCATGTTGAAGTCCTAACCCCCAGTACCTCAGAGTGTAACTGTATTTACAGATAGAGTCTTTAAAGAATAGTTAAATTAAAATGAAGCCATTAGGCTGAGCCCTAGTCAAATAGGACTGGTGTCTTTATAAGAGGAGGAAATCTGAACACATACCAATGGAATTCTGCCCCCGCGCTGCCTTTGGACTCAAATTGCAACAGCAACTCCTCCCTGTGTCTCTGGCCTGCTCCACAGATTTCAGATTTGCTAGTCTCCACACACTCCTAACAATCGTTTAAGTCAGTTCCTTAAAATAAATCTGTGCGTGTGCATTTGTGTGTGTGTATACACACATCCTATGGGTTCTGTTTCTCTGGAGAACCCTAACAAACACAGCATCCTTTCCAATAGCATGAATAGGCTCAGGGATTGAGTAACATGAACATGCCAAGCTCAGTGGCTCACGCCTGTAGTCCTAGCACTTTGGGAGGCTGAGGTGGGCGGATCGCTTGAGCCCAGGAGTTCAAGACCAGCCTGGGCAACATGGTGAAACCCTGTCTCTACAAAAGTACAAAAAAAAAAAAATTAGCCAGACATGGTGCTGTGCACCTGTGTTCCCAGCTACTCAGCGGACTGCAGCAGAAGGATCACTTGAGCCCACTAAATCAAGGCTGCAGTAAGCCATGACCATAGCCACTGCACCACTTCTGCCAGGGAAACAGCATGAGACCCTGCCTCAAAAAAAAAAAAAAAAAAAAAAGACAAGAAAAAAATTCATTAAAACTATAAACTTCATGTTATCTACATTTTACCACAATTAAAAAAAATGGAAAGATCACTGTGCAGGAAGGTGTACAGGAAGGAGCAAAAAAAAAAAAAAAGTGAGGTAGACCTTTTTACTATCCTGAAGATTTTTAAGTTAACTGATCAATAGATTGTAAGGATAATATATGCTTTCTCTTTTAAAATACAATTTATAATGAAGTTCCCTTGTCTTTTTACCAACTCTTTCCAAGTTTCTAAAAATATATTGAAAACTAAAGAAAACATTTACAAATATTAATCTTAAAAATCAATTAAAGCTATTACTATAAGTCAAAAGGTGATGGGCAAAATTAAAAAGCAAAAGGACAAAAATAGAAAAAATATCTATAGCAAATGAGTCATGGGATTAGATAAATGAATAAAGTATTAGATTAATGGAACAAGTATATTAAAAAGACTATTCACTAGAGAAACATACAAGGAAATACATTGGAAAAGTCTTCAGTCTCAATATAATTAGCAAAAACAAGCAAATAAAAACAAGATACTATTTTCTAACAAAAACTAGGAAAGTTTTTCTAAATACTTACATTCAAAGTATAGTAGTTAAATGATACACTTATCAATGATGAAATTATAAATTGCAAGGTTTATTTATTTTTGTGCAGACAAAAGGTTTATTTATTTATGTTGCTCAGGCTGGTCTCAAACTCCTGGCCTCAAGTGATCCTCCCACCTTGGCCTCCCAAAGTGCTGGGATTATAGGCTTGAGCCACCCAGCCAAAGTGCAGACAGCTTTTTAAAAGCAGTCTGACAACATCATGAGGGCCTCGGAAACCGTTACACATTTTGGTCGGTAATCTTTTTCTCTAAGGAAAAAAATCGTAAAGAAATAATAAATCAGGTGGAAAACTTTAGCATATCCTGAAGCAAACTTCAAAGTGTGCTACAATAAAGATATAAGCAAACTATATGGAATGAGGATGCAGACATTAATTTTGTCTGAAACACTTGAAGATGATTTCTTAGATAAGTTGAGATTTAAGTGTTGGCTTTAAGGATTAAAATTCCAATGGCCAAATACTGAAATATTTCAAGGAGAAAGTTCAAGTCTTGGGAAACTGCAACCTGTACATTTTCAGTTTTCCAAAGAGAAAAGCAAGTAGAATGATTGGCTGTAGTAATGAATACAGATGGATCACGGAGCAGGATAAGGTTACTGGAAGGTAATTAATTATATGAAGACAGGAAGGGGATCTGATGCTGAGGATGAGAAGAATTAACTTGTTCTGCATGCAAAAAGGGTATTGTCTTTAAGCAAATATATCTTAGGGAGAAAATTCTAGCAGCTGTGTGGAAAATGATTTGGAACAGAGGGAAAAAAAATCTAGAACCAAGAAATATAGTTAGAAAAATTCAAGAAAGACGCTCTCATAGCATGATTTAGAACTGTGAAAGTGAGTGCAAAGGAGGACCAGCAGGAGAACTGCCCGCACTCGTCAACTTTACAGGGCATGGGCCCCCAAGGGACAAAGGGATAATAAAATCAATATACAGCTTTCAAGCCTTAGTGACAGGGACCACGGAGAGAATGGGCTTGAGAGGATTAACAGAAGATGAATGTTGTTTTAGACATGTCACATTTGAGAGAACACTGATATGGAAATGCCTATGAGATTCAAGTTCAAATGTAGGCCTGACAGAGGTGTTTAAAATCAAAAGGATAGTTTAAGTTACACGAAAATAATAGCAAAGGAGAGTTTAAGTAACTGAACCTCTGGGAACATGTACATTTAAGGACTGTGTGGAGGAGGAAGAACCCAGGAAGGGCCTGAGAAGGATTACAAAGCAGAAGAATAAGAGGGTCTATCGACAGCAATGTGAGGTGCCACAAAGATTTATAGAGAAGCTAAGACAGGTGAGAAGAGAGGTAGAGCCATCAGATTTAGCAACTAGTAAGGTACGAAGATCTTTAAGAAAGCAGTTTTTAAAATGTGAAGAAGAGTTTGTCAGTTCCTCAATATGTTAAACATGGAACTGCCATATAACCCAGCAGTGCCACTCCACTATATATAGGTATACTGTATAAATATATACAAATATATAGTGTATACATATACAATATACTTTTGAGTATATAGTATACTCAAAAGAATTGAAAACGGGTCAGATACCTGTGAACACATGTTCACAGCAACAGTATTCCCAATAGCCAAAAGGTGGAAACAATCCAATATCCTAGGGGATGAATGGATAAGCAAACTGTGATATATACACACAATGGAATATTATTCAGCCATAAAAAAGAATGAAGTATAATGCATGTTACAGCATGGATGAATCTTGAAAACATTATGTGAAATAAATCAGACACAACAGGATAAATACCGTACAATTCTGCTTATATGAGGTATCTAGAATACGCATATTCACACAAACAGAAAGGGGCTGGGAAAATGGGGAATTATTGCTTAATGGTTACAGATTTCTGTTTGGGGTAATGAAAAAGTTTTGGTGATAGTGACAAAATACTGTGAATGGACTTAATGCCACTCAATTATACAGTTAAAAATAGTTAAAATGATAAATTTTACATTATGTATATTTTACCACAACAAAAAGCGCAGTAGAACTTTTTACAAGGAACAGCAAAGAAATTGTCAGAGTGAAGAACAGACACTTACTGCTTGATAACATTTAACTTGAAAAGTTCGAGTGATACACACTGAGCATAAAGAGAGGTTTTTCTATTTCCTATTTTTGCTTAGGCAGAGTAGATCTCAAAATATAGTATTTCTGGGGAAAAGGAAAACATGATTTTTTAAAATTCTGAAGAGTCTACCCTACATCTGTGATTTGGGGGAGGAGAGTAATACCAGAATATTTTGGTGAGTGCAGAGTAGTATGAAAAGCATATTCCAAATTACAATACCATTTTATGTTTGGAAAACCAACCAACCAACTGTTCTCATAATGTGAAGTAGAAAGGAATAGACCAAATCTTCCTTGATGCTAAAAATAAGCAAAACTAGTCCATCACGAGCATATTAATATCCCTCAAGAGGTAAAGTCTACCAGAATTGGAGGGTGGGGGCCTTGATATTTTTCTATTTATCCCAACAGCATTCATTTTAAAAATATATGAAGTTGTACAAGACAAATAACCCAATTTCTTTAACAAACATATTGCAAAGAAAAAAAAAGAAACTTAAGAGGCATATCAACCAAATAAATGTGGATCTGGTCAAAATCCCGGCTGGCACAAACTACTGAAAAAAAAAAAAAAAAAAAAAAAAAAACAACCAGATATAATTCTAGGAGGAAAGGCAGAGCCAGATGGCCAAATGGAAGCCTCCACCAATCATCTTCCCAAATTAAACAACAATCCACACAACAAAGCACCTTCATAAGAACTAAAAATCAGGTGAGCAATCACATGGTTTTAACATAATATCACTGCAAGAGGCACTGAAGAGGATAAAGTCGTGAATTGCTGACACCACCCCTCTCCCATTCCTGTGGCACAGAAAGAGAATCTCTGTGTTTGGGGGAGGGAGAGGGCAGGGATTGTAGGGCTTTCACATCGGAACTCAGTGCTGCCCTGTCACAGTGGAAAGCAAAAGGGGGCAGAATTCAGCTGGCGCCCACAGAGGAAGCATTTAGAGCTGTAGCCAGAGGGGAATTGCCCATCCTGGTGGTGGAAACTCAAGTTCCAGCAAGACTTACCACCATGGGCTAAACTGCTCTGGGATTCAAAATAAACTTGAATAGCAGCCCAGACCACAAAGACTGCAATTCCTGGGCAAGTCTTGGTGCTGGGCTGGGCTTGGAGCCAATGGACTTGGAGGGCACGCAGCCCAGTAAGACACCAGCAGGACCACCAAGGGAGTGCTTGCACCACCCCTCCCTCAACCCCAGGCAGTGCAGCTCGCAGCTCCAGGGGAGACTCTTTCCTTCCACTTGA
Source organism: Homo sapiens (assembly GCF_000001405.40). Classification (NCBI taxonomy): domain Eukaryota; kingdom Metazoa; phylum Chordata; class Mammalia; order Primates; family Hominidae; genus Homo; species Homo sapiens. Next base: position 152,050,534 of record NC_000007.14, on the reverse strand, counting down.
GGAAAGGAGACGGAAGAGTAAACAGGATTTTCTCTTACAACTTGGACACTAGCTCTGCCACAACAGAACAGGGCACCAGGCAAAGTCCTGAAGCTCCCATTCCAGACCCTGGACACCAAATGTCCCAGATAACATTTCTAGACACAGCCTGGGCTACAAGGGAACCTGCTACCTTGAACGGAAGGACCTAGTACTGGCAGGATTTATCACCTGCTGAATAAAGAGCGCTTGGGCCCCAAATCATCAGCAGTGGTAACCAGGCCATACTCATCATGGACCTTTGGGTGAGACTCAGAGACGTGCTGGCTTCAGGTGTGACCCAGCACACTCCCAGATGTGGTGGCTACAGAAAGGGACTTCTGCTTGAGAAAAGGAGAGGGAAGAGCAAAGGGGACTTTGTCTTGCAGCCTAGGTATCAGTGTGGCCACAGTGGGGTAGAGCACCAAGCGGGCCCTTGGGGTCCTTGATTTCAGGCCTTGGCTCTTGGATGGTATTTCTGGACTTGTCCTGGGCCAGAGGGGAGCCTGCTGCCCCGAAGGGAGAGTCTCAGGCCTGGCAGCATTCACTACAAGCTGACTGAAGAGCCCTTGGGCCTTGAATGAACACTGGCAGTAGCCAGGCAGTACTTGCCATGAACCTAGGACAGTGGCAGCTAAGGGGGAGACTCCTCTGCTCATGAAAAAGGGAGGGAGGACTGGGAAGGCTTGGGTGCCAGCTCAGCCGCAGTAGAATAGAGCACCAGGTAGATTCCTAAGGTTTCCAACTCCAGGACCTGGCTCCAGGATGGCACCACTGGACCTAAGACTGAGGGGAGCTTGCCATCCTGAAGGAAAGGACATAAGCCTGGCTGGTTTTACTACCTGCTGATTATAGAGCCTTAGGGCCTTGAGCAAATATAGGCAGTAGCCACAGTGGTTACCAAGGGCCTTGGTTGAGACCTGGTGTTGTGCTGGCTTCAGGTCTGCCCCAGTGTAATCTCAGTGGTGGTGGCCACAGCAGTGCTTGTTTCACCACTCCCCCAGCTCCAGGAAGCTCAGCAGAGACTCCATTTGTTTAGGAGAGAGTAAGGAAAGACAAAAAGCATCTCTACCTGGTAATCCAGAGAAATCTTCTAGATCTTATCTAAGACCATCAAGGCAGTGCCTCTATAAGTCTAAAAGAGCCACTGTGTTACTGGGCTTGGGGTGTCATCTAAGGCAGATATGGCAACAATGACGAAAAATTTACATCACAACATCCAAGTTCCTTTGAATATATGGAAAGTCTTTCCAGGAAGGATGGGTACAAAAAGTCCAGACTGTGAAGACTACGATAAATACCTAACTCTTCAATGCCTAGGAACCAACAAACATCCTCAAGCATCAAGATGATTCCGGAAAACATGACCTCACCAAATGAACTAAATAAGGCATCAGCAACCAATCTTGGAGAGCTAGATATGTAACCTTTCAAAAAAATAATTCAAGATAGCTGTTTTGAGGAAACTCAACAAAACTAAAGATAACACAGAGAAGGAATTCAGAATTCTATCAGATAAATTTAACAAGAGATTGAAATAATTAAGAATCAAGTAGAAATTCTGGAGCTATAAAATGCAACTAACATACTGAAGAATACATCAGTCTCTTAACAGCTGAACAGATCAAGCAGAAGAAGGAATTAGTGAACTTGAAGACAGGCCATTTGAACATACAGAGTCAGAAGAGACAAAAGAAAAAAACAAGAATGAAGCACACCTACAAGATCTAGAAAACAGCCTCAAAAAGGCAAACTTAAAAGTTGTTGCCCCTTCCTGGCTAACACAGTGAAACCCCGTCTCTACTAAAAATACAAAAAAATTAGCCAGGCGTGGTGGTGGGTGCCTGTAGTCCCAGCTACTCTGGAGGCTGAGGCAGGACAATGGCATGAACCTGGGAGGTGGAGCTTGCAGTGAGTTGAGATCGCACCACTGCACTCCAGCCTGGGTGACAAAGTGAGACTCCGTCTCAAAAAAAAAAAGAAAAAGAAAAAGAAAAGTTGTTGACCTTAAAGAGGACGTAGACAGACAGTGGGGGTAGAAAATTAATTCCAAGAGACAATAACAAAGAACATCCCAAACCTAGAGGAAGATATCAATATTTAAGTATGAGAACATCAAGCAGATTTAACCCAAATAAGACTGCTTCAATGTATTTAACAATCAAACTCCCAAAGGTCAAACATAAAGAAAAAATCCTAAAAGCAGCAACAAAAAAGAAACAAATAACATATAATGGAGCTCCAATATGTCTGGCAGCAGATTTCTCAGTGGTAGCCTTAAAGGCCAGGAGAGTGGCCTATTTAAAGTGCCGAAGGAAAAAACTTTTATCTTAGAATACTATATCCCGCAAAAATATTCTTCAAACATGAAGGAGAAATAAAGGTCTTCCAGAGAAACAAAAGCTGAGGGATTTCATCAACACTAGACCTATCTTAAAAGAAATGCCAAAGAGAGTTCTTAAATCTGAAAGAAAAGGACATTAATGCACAATAAGAAAGTGTCTGAAGGTACAAAACTCAGTGGTAATAGCAAGTACACAGAAAAACACAGCATATTAGAGTACCGTCATTGTGGTGTGTGAGCCATACATGTCTTGAGTAGAAAGACTAAAAGACGAACTGATCAAAAATAATTACTACAACAAGTTTTCAGGTCATAGACAATACAATAAGATATAAATAGAAACAACAAAAAGTTTAAAAGCAGGGAATGGAGTTAAAATGCAGATGTTGTTAAAATGTAATGAAGGTAAAATATATTTATTTACTTATTTATATATAGAGTATACATACTTGTGTGTGTGCGCACACACACACACACACACACACGGTGTCACTGTTGACCAGGCTAGAGTGCAGTGGTGCAATCACAGCTCACTGCAGCCTCAACCTCCTGGGCTCAAGCAATCCTCATACCTCAGCCTCCCAAGTAGCTGGGACTATAGGTGTGCACTAACATGCCTGGTTAATTTTTGTATTTTTTTGTAGAGATGGGGTTTCACCATGTTGCCCAAGCTGTTTTGTTTGTTTTGTTTGTTTGTTTGTTTGTTTTGAGATGGAGTCTCCCTCTTGTCGCCCAGGCTGGAGTGCAATGGTGTGATTTTGGCTCACTACAACCTCCGCTTCCCAGGTTCAAGTGATTCTCCTGCCTCAGTCTCCCAAGTAGCTGGGATTACAGGCACCACACCCAGCTAATTTTTGTATTTTTAGTAGAGATAGGGTTTCACCATGTTAGCCAGGCTGGTCTTGAACTCCTGACCTCAAATGATCCCCCAGCCTCGGCCTACCAAAGTGCTGGGATTACAGGTGTGAACCACCGTGCCCAGCCCCTAGGCTGGTCTTGAACTTCTGAGTTCAAGCAATCCACCCACCTCAGCCTCCCAAAGTGCTGGGATTACAAACATGAGCCACTGCACCTGGCCAACATGTAGTTTTTATTAGTTTTCTTTTTGCTTGCCTCTTTGTTTAGACAATCAGTGTTAAGTTGCCATTGGTTTAAAATTGTTATAAGATACTATTTTCAAGCCTTGTGGTAACCTCAAATCTAAAAACATATGATAGATACACAAAAAATAAAATGCAAGAAATTAAAACATACCACCAGAGAAAATCACCTTCACTAAAAGGAAGACAGGAAGGAAGGTTAAGAAGGAAGCAGACCACAAAACAACCAGAAAACAAATAATAAAAAGGCAGCAGTAGGACCTTACTTATCAGTAATAACATTGAATGTAAATGGACTAACTCCCCAGTCAAAAGACACAGAGTGGCTGAATGGATAAAAAAGCAGACCCAACAACCTGTTGCCTACAAGAAACATACTTAACCTATAAAGACACACAGACTGAAAACAAAAGAATGAAAAAAGATATTCCATGCAAATGGAAACCAAAAAAGAGCAGGAGTAGCTATATTTATATCAAACAAAATGGATCTCAAGAAAAAACTATAAAGAGACAAGGTCATTATATAATGATAAAGAACTCAGTTCAGCAAGAGACTATAACAACTGTGAATATATACGCACCCAATACTAGAGCACCCAGATACATAAAGCAAATATTATTAGAGCTAAAGAGAGAGATAGATCCCAATACAATAACTGAAGACTCCCAATGCTTCATTTTCAGCATTGGACAGATCATCCAGACAAAAAATCAACAAAGATATATCAGACTTAATCTGTACTACTGACCAAATGGACCTAATAAATACTTACAGGGCATTTCATTCAATGGCTGCAGAATATGCATTCTTCTCCTCAACACATAGATCATCCTCAAGGATAGACCATATGTTAGGTCTATCCTTGAGGTCTAAAAGCAAGTTTTTAAAAATTCAAACAAACTGAAATTATATCAAGTATCTTCTCCGACCACAACAGAATAAAACTAGAATCAATTACAAGAAGAATTTGGGAAACTATACAAACACATGTAAATTAAACAATATGCACCTGAATGACCAGTGGGTCAATAAAGACATTAAGAAGGAAATTTTAAGATTTCTTTAAACAAATGATAATGGAAACAACATACCAAAACCTATGGGATATAGTGAAAGCAAAACTAAGAGGAAAGTTTATAGCAATAAGCACCTACATCAAAAAAGTAGAAAAACTCCAAATAAACCACCTAATTATGCATCTTAAAGATGCAGAGAAAGCAAGAAGAAAAGCAAGAGGAAACCAACCCAAAATTAGAAGAAAAGCAATAAAAAAGATCACAGCAGAAATAAAAGAAATTAAGATGAAGAAAACAATACAAAAGATCAACAAAACAAAAAGTTCATTTTTTGAAAAGATAAATACAATTGACAAACCACTAGCCAGACTATGAAAAAAAAGAGAAGCCCCAAATCAATAAAATCAGAGCTGAAAAAGGAGACATTACAATCAATATCACAGAAACTCAAAAGATCATGAGAGGCTACTATGAGCAACTATATGCCAATAAATTGGAAAACCTAGAGAAAATGGAAAAATTCCTAGATACATATAACCTGCCAAGACTGAACTATTAAGAAATCCAAAACTTGAACAGACCAATAGCAAGTAACAAGATCAAAGCTGTAATAAAAAGTCTCCCAGCAAGGAAAACCCCAGGACCTAATGGCTTCAATGCTGAATTTTATCAAACTTTTAAAGAACTAATACCAATCCTACCGAAACTATTCCAGAAAAACAAAGGAGGAAGGAATACTTTCAAACTCATTCTGCGAGGCCAATATTACCCTGATACCAAAACCAGACAAAGACACATCAAAAAAATAAAACTACAGGCCAGTATCCCTGATGAACACTGATAAAAAAAAATCCTCAACAAAATACTAGCAAACTGAATTCAATGACACATTAAAAAGATCATTCATCATGACTAAGTGGGATTTATCCCAGGGATGCAAGGATGGTTCAACATACACAAATCAATCAATATGATACATCAAATCAACAGAATGAAGGATAAAAACCATATGATCGTTTCAATTGATGCTGAAAAAGAATTTGGTAAAATTAAACATCCTTTCATGATAAAAACCTCAAAAAACCGGGTATAGAAGGAACATACCTCAATAGAATAAAAGCCATATACAATAAACCCACAGTTAGTATCATACTGAATTGGGGAAGACTGAAAGTTTTTCTTCTAAGATCTAGAATGCAAGGATGCCCACTTTCATCACTGTCATTCACCACAGTACTAGAAGTCCTAGCTAGAGCAATCAGACAAGAGAATAAAATAAAGGGCATCCAAATTAGAAAGGAAGAAGTCAAAGTACCCTTGTTTGCAGATGATATGATCTTATATTTGGAGAAATCTAAAGATTGCACCAAAAAACTATTAGAACTGATAAATTCAGTAAAGTTACAGGATACAAAATCAATATACAAATATCAGAGCATTTCTCTAGGCCGACAGCAAACAATCTGAAAAACGAAATCAAGAAAGTAATCCCATTTACAATAGCCACAAATAAAATTAAATACTAGGAATTAACCAAGTGAACTGTTCGGAACAGGCCCCCAAATCTAGTCATAAACAAAATCTCTGCAGCACTGTGACATGCTCATGATGGCCTTGATGCAATGCTGGAAGGCTGTCGGTTTACCAGAATGAGGGCAAGGAACACCTGGCCCACCCAGGGTGGAAAACCCCTTAAGGTGTTCTTAAACCACAAACAATAGCATGAGCGAGCTGTGCCTTAAGGACAAGTTCATGCTGCAGGTAACCAGCCAGAGCCCATCCTTTTATTTTGGCCCATCCCTTTATTTCCCGTAAGGAATACTTACAGTAAATCTTATGACTGCCTTGCTGTCAATAAATAATGTGGGTAAATCTCTGTTCATGGCTCTCAGCTCTGAAGGCTGTGAGACCCCTGATTTCCCATTCCACACTCTATATTTCTGTGTGTGTGTCTTTAATTCCTCTAGCACCACTGGGTTAGGGTCTCCACGACCAAGCTGGTCTCAGCAAGTAATGCCCATACGTGGGGCTCGAACCCAGGTCAAAGGGTCACCAGAGCAACAGTTGGAGAATGTGGAACTAAGCTGGAGGACACCCAAGTACTCTTAAGCAGTCCCTGTGGTAAGAAGGGGAGCTTGGAAGCATCAGGGTAACAATGGGACAAGTGTGGGCTCTGGTTCATTCCACCTTGGAAACTTTTCACACTGATGAGGAGGAAGGAGAGTATAATGAAGTAACAGAGCAGGTTTGTTTGCCAGCTAAAGGTAAAGCGGCAATGGAGGGAGAGGTTCATCCCTACCCTTCTGTACCCCCTCATTATTTTGAAGAAAAAGAGTAGCCTGACCCTCCGGATCTTTCTTTTCCAGATGACACTGGGCGAAAAGTAGTTGCCCCACTGACTGTTCAAGCTGCACCTCAAGCAACAGCTCTCAGTTCTATTCAGGCAGGAATTCAGCAAGCTAGATGAGAGGGTGATTTAGAGGCTTGGCAGTTCCCTGTTAGAGTACACCCCCCAGATAAACAGGGAAATATTATAGCTACATTTGAGCCTTTTCCTTTTAAATTGGGGAAATGCCATGAGGGGCCAGTTCCCGGCCCCATTTCAAACCAGGGCATTTCTGGCTCAGGCCATTCCCTCACCCCTGTACAATGTCTGTCCCCCGCCACAGCCGGTAGTGCTGCAGTAGATTTATGCTGCACAAAAGCTGTGAGCCTTCTGCCTGGGGAATCCCCGCAAAAGGTCCCAACAGGAGCCGGTGGACCCTTGCCAGCGGGGATGACAGGATTACTTCTAGGCAGGTCTAGTTTAAATATAAAAGCGGTACAAGTACAAACAGGAGTCACTGATTCTGATTACAATGGGGAAATTCAAATTGTTACATCTACTTCTGTTCCCTGGAAAGCAAAGCCTGGAGACCATATAGCACAGCTCCTAATTGTGCCGTATGTGGAAATGGGGAAAAGTGAAATTAAATGAACAGGAGGATTTGGAAGCACAAATAAACAAGGCAAAGCAGCTTATTAGGTGAATCAAATTACTGATAAATATCCTACCTGTGAAATAACTATTCAGGGAAAGAAATTTAAAGGTTTGGTAGATACAGGAGCGGACATTTCAATCCTTTCTCTACAGCACTGGCCGTCTGCGTGGCCAATTCCACCCACTCAATTTAACATAGTTGGAGTGGTAAAGCCCCTAAAGTATATCAAAGTAGTTATATTTTGCATTGTGAAGGGCCCGATGGACAACCTGGGACTATTCAACCAATTATAACTTCTGTACCTATAAATTTATGGGGAAGGGATTTATTACAACAATGGGGAACACAAGTTCTAATTCCAGAACAATTATATAGCCCTCAAAGTCAACATATGATGCATGAAATGGGGTATGTCCCTGGCATGGGAACAGGAAAAAATTTGCAAGGTTTGAAGGAACCGCTTCAAGTGGAAAGACAAAGTTCCTGCCAAGGTTTAGGATATCATTTTTGATGGCGGCCATTGTTAAGCCTCCAGAACCTATACCTTTAAAATGGTTAACAGATAAGCCAATTTGGACAGAACAATGGCCGCTGAGTAAAGAGAAACTGGAGGCTTTAGAAGACTTAATTACTCAACAATTAAAAAAGGGACACATAGCTCCAACATTTTCCCCTTGGAATTCTCCAGTTTTCATAATTAAGAAAAAATCAGGTAAACGGAAAATGTTAACTGACTTAAGAGCCATTAATTCAGTTATACAACCTATGGGGACATTACAGCCAAGATTGCCTTCTCCTGCTATGATTCCAAAAAATTGGCCTTTAATAGTCATAGATTTAAAATACTGTTTCTTTACTATCCCCTTAGCTGAGCAGGACTGTGAATGGTTTGTATTTACAATTCTTGCAGTAAACAATCTGCAGCTTAAGCCTGCTAAACGTTTTCACTGGAAAGTGTTGCCACAAGGTATGTTAAACAATTTGCCAGATATATGTAGGGCAAGCAATTGAACCTACTCATAAAAAAATTTCAGTGTTACATTATCCATTATATGCATGATATACTTTGTGCTGCCTCCACTCAAGAAATATTACTCCAATATTATGATCACTTGCAAAATTCAATTTCTCCTGCTGGCTTAATTACAGCTCCTGACAAAATTCAGACTACTACTCCTTATTCCTACTTGGGGACCTTAGTAAATGACACTACCATTGTGCCACAGAAAGTAGCCATACGTAGGGATCAAATGAAAACATTAAATGACTTTCAAAAATTACTAGGGGACATTAATTGGATATGACCTGCTCTAGGCATTCCTACCTATGCCATGAGTAATCTATTTTCTATCCTTAGAGGAGATCCTAGTCTCACTAGCCCTTGGCAATTAACAAAGGAAGCTGAGGCAGAGTTACAGCTGATTGAAAAGCAAGTCCATAAAGCTCAAATAGAATAGATCCAGAGAAGACTCTAGATTTGCTAATTTTTCCAACTCAGCATTCACCTACTGGTGTTACTGTCCAAGAGCTGGACTTAGAATGGCTTTTTCTTCCACATGCTAATTCATGGACTCTAACTCCTTATTTGGATCAAGTCACTACTCTGATAGTGATATAATAGGAAATGGCAGAACTCGGATTGTTAAATTACATGGATATGATCCTGGAAAAATTATTGTCCTCATAAAGGCACAAATACAGCAAGCTTTTATAAATAGTCTTACTTGGCAAACCCATTTAGCTGACTTTGTGGGTATTCTCGATAACCATTTTCCTAAAACAAAACTGTCTGAATTTTTGAACTGGTTTGGTGGAGAGACCCGATAATAAAAAGTTGGGAAATAGGTAAAATAATAACTTGGAGTAGAGGTTATGCTTGTGTTTCTCCAGGACCAAATCAACAGCCAATTTGGATACCATCAAGATACCTGAAACCTTATCATAAGCCAGATGCCAAGGAAGAGATTCCGGAAGGATCCCAAGGATTCCCAGTTGCAGCCATGTCAAGACTGACGCTGAGGAGGACCCCAACTGTCACGAGCAACACCCATCGAACACAGCCACCCACCTGGGGACAGATCGAGAAGCTGCCACAGATGGCGGAAGAAAACCTGAGGAAAGCTGGACAACCAGTCACAATAAGTAATTGGATTCTCCCTAGAATAACTAAATTTAAACCAATTGAAGGTGCTGAGAATGTTTTTACAGATGGGTCTAGCAACGGTAAAGCTTCTTATTCTGGCTCAAAAGGTAAAGTTTTTCAGATGCCCTATGGTTCAGCTCAAAAAGCAGAGCTCGTAGCTGTAATTGAGGTATTGACTGCTTTTAATATGCCTATTAATGTGATTTGATTCTTTATACATGGTTCATTCCACACAGTTAATTGAAAATGCTCAGTTATGATTTCATACAGATGAACAACTGATTACTTTATTTACCCAATTGCAAGCAGCAGTTAGGAGTAGAATGCACCCTTTTTACATCACTCACATTAGGGCTTATACATCTCTTCCAGGACCTTTGACTGAAGGGAATCAAATGGCTGATCGCCTTGTTGCTAAAGTAATATCTAATGCTAGACACTTTCACAATTTAACCCATGTTAATGCCTCTGGTCTCAAACGCAGATACAGCATTACCTGGAAAGAAGCTAAAGCTATTATCCAGCGATGCCCAACTTGCCAAGTGGTGCGTTCCTCATCTTTTACAGGAGGAGCTAATTCTCGAGAACTGGAACCTAATTCTCTTTGGCAAATGGATGTCACACATGTTCCCTCGTTTGGGAGACTAGTTTATGTACATGTATGTGTGGACACCTTTTCTCACTTTGTCTGGGCTACATGCCAATCAGGAGAGTCTTCTGCTTGTGTTAAACGTCACCTCTTGCAGTATTTTGCAGTGGTGGGCATTCCAGCTTCTATTGAAACAGATAATACCCCAGGCTATACTAGCCAAGCTCTAGCTACATTTTTCTCTATATGGAATATTAAACACATTACTGGTATCCCATATAATTCTCAAGGACAAGCCATAGTGGAAAGAATGAATCTCTCCCTGAAACGGCAGTTGCAAAAACAGAAAGGGGGAAATGGATTACAGGACAGCCCGCATACAATTGAATCTAGCATTCTTAACTTTAAATTTTTTGAGCCTGCCTAAAGGCCAGATGCTATCAGCAGCTGAACAGCATCTACAGAAATCAGCTGCAAAGACAGAAGCAGAAAAACTGGTTTGGTGGAGAGACCCAATAACAAAAAGTCGGGAAATAGGTAAAATAATAACTTGGGGTAGAGGTTATGCTTGTGTTTCTCCAGGACCAAATCAACAGCCGATTTGGATACCATCAAAACACCTGAAACCTTATCATAAGCCAGATGCTGGGGAAAAGATTCCAGGAGAATCCCGAGGACCCCCGGTTGCAGCCATGTCAAGACTGACGCTGAGGAGGATGCCAACTGTCATGAGCAACACCCATCGAACACAGCCACCCACCTGGGGACAGATCAAGAAGCTGTCACAGATGGCGGAAGAAAACCTGAGGAAAGCGGGACAACCAGTCACAATGAATAATTTAATGATAGCGGTGATCACCACTGCCTTCAACAAGGGCTGACACAGAGAACAATTACACTTATTGGGCATATTTATCCATCTTGGCTGGCAACAATGCCTGGATGCAATCACTCTATGACACAGTTACACATGCTTTCTGATCTCAGTATTTACCATAATGAATCTGCTCCTACAATTGAGGCATACCACCCTCAAAAACCTATTTATAAATAAAATTGAACCTGGCAAGAAAAAATGAACATACTTGTTTAGGAAAATTGCATTGCAGAACAGGCAGAGGTGCTGTGCAGTGATTCCTATGGAATTGATTGGTCCCCTAGGGGATGTTTAGCTTGAATTGCACCTCAGTCTGCGTGCCATGGCCACACTATGTTCAGCTGGTCTGAACAAAATGGTCAGATGGTAGAAATGGTAAGAAGTATGACAAGAGTTCCTATTATCTGGAACCATGGCAGTATAGTGGCACCTCAACCTCAAATGATATGGCCCATTGTAGGAGCTAAACAAGGATTTGTGGAAATTATTAATAGCTCTTAATAAAATCAAAATTTAGGAAAGAATAAAAAAGCATCTAGAAGGCCACTCTACAAACTTGTCTTTGGATATTGCAAAATTAAAAGAACAAATATTTAAAGCATCACAGCCACACTTGACCTTAATGCCAGGAACTAGAGTGCTCGAAGGAGCTGCAGACAGATTAGCAGCTAGTAACCTATTCAAATGGAGAAAAACACTTGGAAGCTCTGTGATTTCAACAATGATCGTCCTTTTAATCTGTGTTGTCTTTGTGTACTCTGCAGATGTGGATCCTGACTCCTGCAAGAAGTAGCTCACCATGACAAACCTGCCTTTGCTTTTATCACTTTGCAAAACAAAGGGGGACATGTTGGGAACAGGCCCCAAAATCTGGCCATAAACTGGCCCCAAAACTGGCCATAAACAAAATCTCTGCAGCACTGTGACATGCTCGTGATGGCCTTGACGCAATGCTGGAAGGTTGTCGGTTTACCGGAATGAGGGCAAGGAACACCTGACCCACCCAGAGTGGAAAACCACTTAAGGCATTCTTAAACCACAAACAATAGCATAAGCGATCTGGGCCTTAAGGACATACTTATGCTGCAGGTAAGCAGCCAGAGCCCATTCCTTTATTTCTGCCCATCCCTTTATTTCCCATAAGGAATACTTATAGTAAATCTTATGACTGGCTTGCTGTCAATAAATATGTGGGTAAATCTCTGTTCATGGCTCTCAGCTCTGAAGGCTGTGAGGCCCCTGATTTCCCATTCCACACTCTATATTTCTGTGTGTGTGTCTTTAATTCCTCTAGCGCCGCTGGGTAAGGGTCTCCATGACCCAGCTGGTCTCGGCAGTGAATGATCTCTGCAATGAAAACTATAAAATACTGATAAAAGAAATTGAAGAAGACGGGCTGGGCACAGTGGCTCAGACCTGTAATCCAAGCACTTTGGGAGGCTGAGGCAGGCAGCTCACCTGAGGTCAGGAGTTCGAGACCAGCCTGACCAACATGGAGAGACCCCCATCTCTACTAAAATTACAAAAATTAGCCGGGTGTGGTGGTGGGCAACTGTAATCCCAGCTCCTCAGGAGGCTGAGGCAGGAGAATCATGCGAACCCAGGAGGTGGAGGTTGCAGTGAGCCAAGATCACAGCAGTGCACTCCAACCTGGGTGACAAAGCAAGACTCTCTCAAAAGGAAGGAAAAAAAAAATTGAAGACATGCACGCACAAAAAGAAAGATGTTCCACATTCACCAACTGGAAGAATCAATACTGTTAAAATGTCCACACCACCCAAAGCAACCTACAGATTCGATGCAATCCCTATCAAAATACCAATGAACCAAAGACATTCTTCACAGAAATAGAAAAAAAAAATCCTAAAACTTATATGGAATAACAAAAGACCCAGAATAGCCTATGCTATCTGAGCAAAAACAACAGAACTGAAGGAATGACATTACTTGACTTCACATTATCTAACCCCAAATTACAACTTCAAATTATACTAAAGAGCTATAGTAACCAAAATAGCATGGCACCAGCATAAAAACAGACACACAGACCAATGAAACAGAATGGAGAACCCAGAAACAAATCCATACATCTACAGCGAACTCATTTTTGACAGAAGTGCCAAGAACATACATTGGGAAAAGGAGAGTCTCTTCAATAAATGGTGCTGCGAAAACTCGATATACATATGCAGAAGAATGAAACTAGATCCCTATCTCTCACTATACACAAAAATCAAATTGAAATGAATTAAAGACTTAAGACCTCAAGCTATGAAACTACTAAAAGAAAACACTGGAGAAAATCTCCAGAACATTGAACTAGGCAGAGATTTCTGGAGTAATACCCCACCACAGCATACATGGACAAATGGTATCACATCAAGTTAAAAAGCTTCTGTACAACAAAGGAACAACAAAGTGAAGAGAAACCTAGAGACCAGGAGAAAGTATTTGCAAACTATCCATCTGGCAAGGGATGAATAACCAGAATACATAAGAAACTCAAACAATGCTATAGGAAAAAAATCTAATAATCCTATTAAAAAATGAGCAAAGGTCTGAATAGACATTTCTCAAAATAAGACATACAAATAGCAAACAGGTGTATGAAAAGGTGATCAACATCACTGATCAGAGAAATGCAAAACAAAACTACAAGGAGATATCATCTCACCCCAGTTAAAATGGCTTATATCCAAAAGACAGGCAATAATGAATGATGGTGAGGATGTGGAGAAAAGGGAATCCTCATACACCATTGGTGGGAATGTAAATTAGTACAAGCACTATGGAGACCAGTTTGGAGGATCCCCAAAAACTAAAAATAGAGCTACCACGTGACTCAGCAATCCCACTCATAGTATATACCCAAAAGAAAGGAAATCAGTATACCAAAGAGGTCTGCAGTCTCATGTTTCCTGCAGCACTGTTCACAATAGCCAAGATATGGAAGCAACCTAAATGTCCATCAACAAATGAATGGATAAAGAAAACATGGTACATATACACAATGGAGTACTATTCAGCCATAAAAAAAGAATGAGATCCCATCATTTGCAACAACAGGGATAGAACTGGAGGTCATTATGTTAAGTAAAATAAGCCAGGTACACAGAATGACAAACTTTGCCTGTTGTCACTTATTTGTGGAAGCTAAAAATTAAAACAATTGAACTCACGGAGAGAGAGACTAGATAATGGTTACCAGAGGCTGAGAAGGGAGTGAGGGGAGAGACAGTTAATGTATACAAAAATATAGTTAAATAGAATGCATAAGATCTAGTATTTGATAGCACAACAGCATGACTACAGTCAACAAAACTTTATTGCACATTTTAAAGTAACTTTAAAAGAGTATCATTGGGTTGTGAAAGATTCTCCCCCAAGCCTGAAAGCTTAAGGGAATGAATACTTCCTCCCTCTTCAAGCCCAGTCCAAATGCGCAAGGACAGTTGCGCCAGCAGCATGCATCAGCAAGTTAGCAGAAGCAAGAAGAGAGCTGGGCAGAAGACACCCCCTGAAGATCAAGAGGGAGGCCAGCGGGCACTACGCAGCAGCCACATCAGACTGGGACAATTCCTGCTTATAGAGGACTGTAAAACCCCTTCCCCATCCTCACTTGGGGCTGACGCTATTGCCAAGCAGTGAGTACCATCTGACCCCTTTCACTTGCTATTCTGTCCTGTTTTCCCTTAGAATTCGGTGGCTAAATACCAGGCACCTGTCGGCCAGTTAAAAGTGACTAGCGGCCAGTTAAAACTGACTAGCACAGCCGCTGGACTAAAGACACGGGTGTCAGGCTTTCCGGGATAGGGCTCTCTAACAACCCCTGACTCTTCGGAGTTGGGAGTGTTGGTTTGCCTGGAACCAGCTTTCCGCTTTTCCTGTACTTCCGGGCTGAGCCGAGGGTCGACAGAGAGGAAAGCCATTCAGCTCCGGGGTCCTGACAACAAGTTGGTTGACCCTGTGGCCATGAGCAGAACTCTCGAAGTCATGTTGCCCAAGCGAGACTCGCCCATCTATCCTACCTATCCTGACCCTTGCCTCCTGGGTCCTAATGCTTGTCAGAAAAACTTTCTCTTGCCTCTCTTCTCTGAGGCTAGTCCCGCTTCTGGAAACCACTCCCTGTCTCTGGTGCTTTTCTAGTTTCTCCTGTAAGAATCATTTCTAGTATAAACTCCAGGACTCTGTTAACCTTCTTTAGGCACCCGGGCTCACCAATTAGAAAGACATAATTTTTGCCCAAAGCCCCATCAGGGTGGGGGACTGTCTTATCCGGAATTTTAGGATCCCTCCTCAGACTAGCAGGCCTAACAAAAGCTATTCCAGAAGCTAGGATACGGGGAGCTTCAGAAATGACATTCTTGTATTCATATAAGTGCGGACAAAAAGGCATCACTCTTCCAACTCTGGAGATCCCTCCCCTCCCTCAGGATATGGCCCTCCACTTCATTTTTGGGGCATAACATCTTTACAGGAGGGGTAAAGTCCCAATACTAACTGGAGAATGCTTAGGACCCTAACAGGTTTTCGAGAATGCATCAGTAAGGGCCACTAAATCCAATTTTTCTCGGTCCTCTTTGTGGTCTAGGAGGACAGGCAAGGGTGCAGATTTTTGAGAATGCATTGGTAAGGGCCACTAAATCCGACCTTCCTCGGTCCTCCTTGTGGTCTAGGAGGAAAACTAGTGTTTCTGCTGCTGCGTCAGTGAGTGCAACTATTCCCATCCGCAGGGTCCAGGGACCGACCGTTGTGGGTTCTTGGGCAAGAGGTGTTTCTGCTGCTGCATCGGTGAGTGCAACTATTCCGATCAGCAGGGTTCAGGGACCATTGTGGGTTCTTGGGCAGGGGGAGAAACAAACAAACCAAAACTGCGGGCGGTTTTGTCTTTCAGATGGGAAACAATCAGGCATCAACAGGCTCACCCTTGAAATGCATCCTAAGCCACTGGGACCAATTTGACCCGCAAACCCTGAAAAAGAGGTGGCTCATTTTTACCGCACTATGGCCTGGCCCCCATATTCTCTCTCTGATGGGGAAAAATGGCCACCTGAGGGAAGTATAAATTACAATACTATCCTGAAGCTTGACCTTTTCTGTAAGAGGGAAGGCAAATGGAGTGAAACACCTTATGTCCAAGCTTTCTTTTCATTGAAGGAGAATACACAACTATGCAAAGTTTGCAATTTACATCCCATAGGAGGACCTCTCAGCTTACCCCCATATCCTATCCTCCCTATAGCTACCCTTCCTATTAATGATAAGCCTCCTCTAATCTCCCCTGCCCAGAAGGAAATAAGCAAAGAAATCTCCAAAGAACCACAAA